>NC_000012.12:75187400-75338915 GCF_000001405.40 Homo sapiens | reverse complement strand
AGGGACATGGATGGAGCTGGAAGCTATTATCCTCAGCAAACTAATGCAGGAACAGAAAACCAAACACCACATGTTCTCACTTATAAGTGGGAGCTGAACAATGAGAACACATGGACACATGGGGGGATCAACACACATTGGGGCCTGTAGGCAGAAGGCGGTGGGAGGAGAGAGAGCTTCAGGAAGAATAGCTAATAGATGCTGGGCTTAATACGTGGGTGATTGGTTGATCTGTGCAGCAAACCACCATGGCATATGTTCACCTGTGTAACAAACCTGCACATCCTGCACATGTACCCCAGAACTTAAAAACTGAAAAAAAAAATAACTTTTCCATGCAACCAAACATCACCTGTTTCCCCAAAACTATTATTAAAAAAACCTACAGGAAAAAATGGAAAAAAAATGAAATAAAAGGAATTGATGCAGAGTTTTACCAAATGGTTTTCATGACTCTATTGAGATGATCATATAATTTTTCTCATTGAATCTATGAAGAGTGGCAGACTGTAAACAGCAATTAAATTCCCCCAATCCAAGTCAGATTTCTCACAGATTTTTCATTTTCTGGGGAGTTTTCTGTTAATGGTGTTTCCAGTTTTGTTCCTGATTATGTTGATTAATTTTCAAGTCCTAATTCAACTTTTTATTCCTGAGATAAATCCCATGATATAATATTCTTTATATGTGTTGCTGGATTCAATTGATTATAATTTTGTTGAAGATTTTTTGCATCTATATTGAGCTATAATTTTCTAACCTGTAATGTTTTTTCTGGTTTGGTGTCAGGGTAAAAGTTGACTCATAAAGTTCCAAAAGGTTTTCTCTTTCAGTTTCACAAAGAGATTTGTATAAGATTGGTGTTGCTTTTCTCTTAGAATTCACCTGAATTTTCTGTTAAGAATATTTTAAATTACGTATTTAATTTATGTAATGGCATAAGACTATTTAGATTGATGAAGATGCAGATGAATGATCTCATTCATACATTGGTTAAATATCCCTGTTAAAAGATTTATATTGGGTTCAAAGTCAATCTCTAACCCCGGATTCTTTCATTTGTACAAGACAAAGAAGACAATAGTCGAAAAATAATAATAGAAATCAAAGAAATAAAAAAATAAGCAATACTTTTATTAGGCAAAGTTCAAGGATTTAATGTTACTTTATAAGACACATAGTACGGAATGTAATATTTATGAGACTTTATGTGATAAATAACATGGCACGCATATATGAAATAAAAATTCCAATCTTGAGGTAGGTAGTTTCACTGACGTATACATATGTAAAAAAAATTGTACATTAAAACTAGTGCATTTTATGCACTTATTCACTAGTAATCATTCAATAAACAACATATCAAAATATTGTGTCAATTTTATAAAATGCTGATTTTCAAGACATTTGTCCATTTATTTTCTTTATGTTGTAAAATTTATTAGTATAAATTTGTTCAAAATATTCTCTATCTATCCATTTAATGTGTGGAGTTTTTTAAAAGTGATTTTCCATTCCTAAAATTGATTTTTGAGTTGTGTCTTTCTTCATTAATCTTTTTTTTACTACTGGTTTATCAATTTTATTAATATATAGTTTTAAACCAACTTTTGATATTATTGATTTTAGTCCTCATACTTTTACTTTCAATTTCATCAAATTATGATCATCTTTAGTTTTTTAAAAATTTTCTTGTGCTTAATTTAAACTTGTTTCCTACCTTCTTGAGTTGAAAGAATAGGTCTTGATTTTTAACCATTCTTCTTTCCTAAAATATTCATTTAAATCTATACGTATGCTTCCAAACACTTCTTTTGCTATATCCCACAAATTTTGATATGCTGTGTTTCCATTAACATTCAAATCTAAATTATAGTAATCTCTATTATTATTTATTCTTTAACTTATGGACCATTTAGATATGTGCTGCTTGATTTCACATTTTGGGAGATTTTGCACACTTTATTTCTGGTTTAAGACTTTTTTTTCAGAAGATATAGGACAAAATTTCAAATACTGTTAATTTATTGAGACTTGTTTTATGGTTCAGCATATTGTTTATATTGATGAATGTAATGAATACTTGATAAAAATTTGTATTTTGCAGTGTGGTATAAATTGTTTAATGTCAATTAGGTAAAATTGTTTGATGTTCAAATCTTTTTTATTTTTACTGATTTTTACCTACTTGTTCTCTTACTCACTAAGATTAAAATCTCTATGACTGTTTTGTCTCTTTCTCCCTTTACTTTTGCCAATTTTTGTGTATTAAAATATATTATTACATTTATTTGTATTGAAGATTGCTGTGTCTTTTGTTGAATTAGCCCTTTTATTTTCCTAAATGTCCCCTTTTATTTCTGGTAGTTCTCCTTGTCTTAAAATCTACTTCAGTAGCCATAAATATAGCTATTCTATCTTAATTTTAGAGTTTGCATAATGTATTTTTTCCATCTTTTTACTTTAATCTATTTGTGATATGTTTCTGTTACAAAAGCATTAATCCAATCTGATAATCTTTATTTTTAATTAAAGTATGTAGTAGTCATTTGCATTTAATGTAATTTTAACATGGTTAAGTTTTAGTCTACCATTTGCTATTTTTAAATGATTCCCTCTTTGTTCTTTTGTTCCTTGTTCCTGTTTTCCAAAAATTAATCAAGGACTTTAGTATTCTACTTACTGGATTTTTAGCTCTACTTCTTTGTATATTTTTAATGGTTATCCTAGATATTAAAATATGCATTCTTAACTTCTCACGGTCCATCCAGAAATATTATTGTGATTCTTAACAATATAAGGAACTTTCAGCAGAATAATTCTATTGACACTTCACTTCATTTTTTATGCATTGGTTATAATGTGTTTAGTTTCTACATTATTATAAACTCCACAATTCATTGTTATCATATTTTGCTTTAAATAGTCAATGAGTACAAAAGAAATATAAAGAACATTTATTATATTTAACCCCACATTTACTCTTTTTTATCATACATTTACAATAAAACTCTAAAGGCATCAACCATATTAATACTAATATTAGTATTTCTGAATTCCGTTGAAGATTTATTTCTAGTTAATTTATGCCTTGGACAACCCCAAGCTGGTAAACATTATATATTAAAATATCTTAACAATTCTGCATTAAAGAGATTAGTTTATTCTTGTTTCATTTCTGATACATATTTGAATCTTTCTCCATCAAAATATAATTTTCTTATACAGTAGACTAGTACAGTTTTGAACTTATTTTAATGCCTGAGTTGTGATTTTATAATTACTTTTGTTTTCCACTGGATAGAAAAGAAGAAAGCTGGAATAGATATGAGTTATACTGTATCTACATCTGCATAGCACATAAAATAGACTAATACTATCAACGTTTATGCTCATAGTGATGCATTTATAAACAAGAAAAAGTTACAATGCAAGGGAAATTTCCAATCATACAATTCATAGTCAAGTATTTAAAATTTTGTAAATTCTATGGATTATTTAATAATCCAATGCTTTTTATGCTTATTCTTCAATAGAGTACTGTATTTTTTTCAAATAATACTACACATGAAGTGTTGTTTTGATCTTGGATTCATATGATATAAAAATAAGTAAGAGAACAAGAGAATCTCCATTCCTGGGCTATTTCTTTGGTATCTTGTATCTTGGTTGTGGGGGGTGGAAATTGCTAGCTAAAAAATGGAAGAAAGAAAACAAAATAATCCTGTGTTCAGTACTTATAACTTTAGTGGTGCAACAAAGCAACTTCCAAACACTGCTCCAGCATCCCCACCTTCCCCGCAAGAGGCAAGGAACAGCTTCAAGTCTTCCTTTCTTGTTCACTCCTATGACTCTGGAGGAGACAGCCCAACCAAGGTGTGAATTTTTTTCTTTTTAACTGCATATATGTAAAGTCCGGATTGAATTAGTACAAGTTAAGTCCGTGAAATTTATCACCCAGATACCTCAGGATGAGTCAGGGATTTAAGAGCCCAGCCCTGGTTCTTTCTCACCATGTATTTCATGTCGGCCGCGGGAGGGTTGACTTTGCCACGCCATTCGTTGTGGGCTTCTATGCAGTTGTCTATAAAGTGTGGGTCAGTGATGGATGGGATTTTGGAAGATGTAGTGGCTACCAAACACAGACCCAAGATCCATAAACAACTGAATTTATTCTTCAGAGCCATGGAAGGATGTGGAGGATGCGGAGGATGCCCTGACTGCGCGGACCAGTAACGGCTGGGGCAACCCGATTTCCCCACGCCCCCGCACCACGCTCTCCCTTGGCTCCATCCTGCCGCACAGGCTCGAGCCCAGCGCGGCTGGATCAACTTGTCAGTGTCGCTGTGGGGAAGAACAGGCAGCAGGGTTCCCCTTCCACAAAGCTCTGAGCTACAGGGGAAAGCTCTGAGTCGCCCTCTGGTGGAGGGAATTTCAACCATCCAAACTGCTTTCTGTGGATCCAATCTGTAATCTGCAGAGCGCGTCTGGATTGTAATACAGATTGCAATATGCAAGCCACACAAGTTAGGTAAAGAACAAGTGCGGGATGCTGACAATGGGCCAGTCGAGTGCAAAGCACTATATATTCGTTTCTTAGACGCAGCTTCCGTGTATAGATTTTTATTGTTCTAAATAATCTAGAATCATATTGCCACTTCCCTCAGAGATTGGGAATAGAGTAAGAATAGGCAATTCTTATACAGTGACATACAGTGATCCTAAATTATCAACTTGTCAAACATTTAATAATTTCCTTCTGTTTTTTCGTCTGAAGAGACCGAATGCTTAGATAGATAACAATAGATGCTTGGAAAATGTAGCCAAGTAGTTCCTCTTGACAAAATCTTCCCTTTTTGATAGTTTGGAACAGAGCCACTGTATGGTGACTGGTAGACTCCAAGAGTTGCTTTAATTGATACACTGAGACTGGGATGGACAGAGTACATTTGATTGTCTATTTTACCTGCAATGCAATATAAATCAACGTCATTTGGCTTAATGTTTTAAATTCATTACATCAGTTATATTGATATTCTGTAATAAACCAGCATTTTTCCCCATGACATTAATTTTTTTTAGTATTTCTATGTTTCAAATAAATACCTTTACTTAGTAATTTGAAGTTGTTTACAATGCTGTTTAATTCAAGTGAACACGTACTTACATCTGCTGAATGATCCGCCATAGTCAACCTTGACACAAAAAACAAAAACCAAAACAAACTACTTTGATGCAGCTACTATCTTTTTAAAAATAAAAAGCAGAAAATTAGATTATAAGAAAACGAAAAATGCAAGGATCCTAATGGAAATTCTACTGGGCAATAGATAATATATTTCTAGTCTACTACCAGCTAATGGAGAATTGCTGTATATACTACTTTCATATCACATACATAGTCCAAACTGAGCTTCTGATATCCCACACCCAAAGACATGAACATATATACGTGTGTGTGTGTGTGTATATGTGTGTGTGTAGGTATACAGATAGATAAATCAATACAGTTATATACATCTACATGTGTCTATATATATATGTCTCTTCCTGGATATAAAGATATCTATAGGCATATACACACATACATATACACACATACATTTATATATGTAAAGTTCTCTCTATGTATAAATCTGTTTGTATACACATATATGTGTGTGTGTCTGCCTATAGACATATATACATCTACACAGAGAGAGATACAGATGTCTATAGGCATATATACATATACATATGTTTGTATACAAAGAGAAAGAGAACTTTTAAGGAATTGGCTCACATTACAGTGGGGGGCTACAATAAAAAATCTGAAGTCCTAGGTATGGCCCAAAAGACACTACATAATCTGACCATGGCTAGTTCTCTGGCATTCTCTCCTGGCTTATTCTGCATCAGCCACATCCATCAGCTTGATAAGGATGCTCTCTCCTCAGCATCTTTGCACTTGCTGTTACTTTTGCCTGCAGTGCTCTTTATAGAGTTCCCTTCAGTGAAGTCTTCCCTGATCATTCTATATCCCCTGTCTGTCAGTGCCTATCCATTTAACCTGTTTTATTTTTCTTCATTGCATTAATTACCTCCTGAATTTATGTTATTTATTTTTTTAACATCTGCCTTCTCTATCAGATTGTAGCCTTCACCACAACAGTAGCTTTGTTTTCTTCATTGCTACATCTCTAGCACCTTGAACAGGAACTGAATCTTTAGGCTCTCAATAAAAATTGGTCGAATAAATAAATGAGTTCTCTTTAACTTTCTAATAATGTTGTATACAACTGTAAGCTTCTTGAGAGCAGAAACTATATTTTAATTGTTATATATATGTATATATACATATGAGGGGCTCAATAAATATTTTTGACTTAATCACATAAAAGGAAATGCTGGGTAAGCTTATATATTTCACTTTTTCTAACACTGGGTATATTTGAAGATAGAAGGTGTTCAGTGGATGTTTGTCAAATACATAAGTGGCTGAATGAACAAATAAATACAAAGATAAAGTAAAATATTTTCAAGTAGTAGGTACTCAGTGAATGTTGGCTGCATTAATGAATGATCAAGTAAATGAAAATTTAAAGTTGAGCTTCAAATGCAAACTCTTTTGGAACTGCAAAACAGTAAAGGTTGATAGGGATAAGGTTAATAGGGATAAAGGTTAACAGATAGCTAATTTAGTTTCATTTAGTGTATAGAGAAATTAACTGCCTGTAACAACAACAGAAATTTCATAGAGTAATGAATTTAAAGATTGGCAAAAGTAGAGTATATATAGTCAAACATAATCCAAGATTATTGCTCTTCTAAGAGACGTTTTTAATAAAATGTCTGAATTGTATACATTATGTTTTTTAGATCATGTTCCCAATGGCTTAGACAGCTATATTCAGAAATACTAAAACAATTTAGGTGTAAAAAGTCTAATTGCCAGGAATCAACAAGTGCATGTCCTAATGTTATTTTCTTGAACATCTATTTCTGGAATGGCCAAGGTTAGTTGGTGCACCAGAATTTTTAAGTTCTTTTATAACTTTTTAAAAGTTAAATTTAGGCCGGGCGCGGTGGCTCACGCCTGTAATCCCAGCACTTTGGGAGGCCGAGGGGGGCGGATCACGAGGTCAGGAGATCGAGACCATCCCGGCTAAAACGGTGAAACCCTGTCTCTACTAAAAATACAAAAAATTAGCCGGGCGTAGTGGCGGGCGCCTGTAGTCCCAGCTACTTGGGAGGCTGAGGCAGGAGAATGGCGTGAACCCGGGAGGCGGAGCTTGCAGTGAGCCGAGATCCCGCCACTGCACTCCAGCCTGGGCGACAGAGCGAGACTCCGTCTCAAAAAAAAAAAAAAGTTAAATTTAGCTTTCTGTTTTATTTTTATGTGTGTTTTCTGCTATTTATTTTTGCTTTTCTTTCTATGTGGGGGTAATGGATAGATGAATTTTATGGAGTGCAGCAGAAAAATACAGAGTGATTACATTATACCTCATTTCCTTCACTATTTTTATACTTTAAAAATTTATTTGTATTTTTACTCCCAAATTTGCACCAGGAAATACTGGAAATATTCACGTTTTGATACATACATTCTGAGGGGAGCTAATTTTGAAAAGTTACTGCAGATTAGAAAAACATGATTATGAAAGAACTGGATTAACTTTCATAAACTCTTACTTCTAATTTGAATATCTGACTCTTGGCTGTGTAATTTAGGAAAGTTAGTGCATATTAGAGTGGAGTGGATCCTTGGAATTATCTCAAACCAGCTTTTTCCCTTTATAGATGAGGAGTTGATGCCAAGATATTGTGTACAGAGCATACATAAAAATATTTAGGCCGGGCATGGTGGCTCATGCCTGTAAATCACAGCACTCTGGGAGTCTGAGGCAGGGTATCACCTGAGGTCAGGAGTTCGAGACCAGCCTGCCCAACATGGTGAAACCCCCTCTATATAAAGATACAAAATATTAACCGGGCGTGGTGGTGGGCGCATGTAATCCCAACTACTTGGGAGGCTGGGGCAGGAGAATCGCTTGAACCTGGGAGGCAGAGGTTGCAGTGAGTCGAGATTGTGCCATTGCACTCCAGCCTGGGCAACAAGAAGGAAACTCCGTCTCAAAAAAAAAAAAAGGCAAAGAATAAAATGCAGGTTTCTTGATTTCTAGGCCTTTGCCCTTTCCACACATCATTTTAAATTTTAATTATATATACACACACAAATACACATACATATATATGCAATTATTCATGTAATCATCTATATGTACATAGTCACACAAATTTAAAGTAATATCCATGTCTAATATCTATGTATCTCTATATAATATATTACAGTCTTTAAAAAAAATAAGTGCAAGCTCCTTGAGAGCAGATATTGTAGCATATGCTTAAATTTCTTCTCCTCAAAACGTCATTCTGGGCTCTGTGCACAGACAGGTGCCTTATGAAATATGTTAAACAGAATTCAATTAGACAAAGAATTACACAACAACCGCCGTGGATCCGGGCCGGGCTTTGGCCCTTTCCCTGCTCAGGAGAAGCGCGGGTGAGTGAGTCCGCTCCGGCTCCTCGCCGGGGTTTAGGGGCGCCGCGGAGCCGGTTCCCTGGGAGGCTGCGGCGGCTGTAGCTGAGGTTTCACCCCTTTGGGTTTTCCAGCCAGCAAGTACTTCTGAGAGCGTGGCGGGGTCTCCGGCCACAAGCTCAGTTCCGGTCAGCCAGGCAGCGGAACTGAGGAGGCAGATTGGCGGGGGCGGGAGGTGGCGTAGAACGAACAAGGGACTTGGGCCGACGACCTTTTCGTCCCTGGAGGTCAGAGTGTAATCAGAAGCCCTGCGCTGCGGCGCCTGTTGCCGGGCAACCTGCAGACGCGGGCCTGGACTGTCTAGACTGTCCTGTCTAAAGCTTTCTGAATGCGGTTTTTGGAGGAATCGCGCTAGTTTATACCTTTTCCAACTCTTCTAACTCTGGACCTCTTCTTACCGAGCTTGTTAGGTGAAATCAGGCTGACTGTCTCTTGTGCCCCTCGCCTGTCCTGTCCAGGAATCCCAGTTAGGTAGGGGATGGGGAATTCCTTCTGCTACACTGCAGGTGCTCTGAATTATAATATAATTTGGGAGCAGGGGGAGTGATGGGGTGAAAGGAGATATTACCCTGTTTTGCTTGAAATTAGGAATGACCTAAGTTTCAATTCAGATATCTGGGTCTGTAGTCGTCTGGGATCAACATAGACTTGGTCCCTACCTTCATGTAGCTTAAATACTAAATTGTATTTACATCTCTTTCTTTTTTTCTTATTTATGGGCTGAATTAAATCAGTTTATTTTTTGCTTTTCATTTTTTTCTGATTTGATATAAGTAACATAATAGCCAGTAATATTACTACCGAGAGAAGTGATAATAATTGGAAGTGGAAATAGTCATCCTTAAAAAAAAATGAGGGAAATGGGAAGTGTGTTCAGTTATTTTTGGTAGCACTAAAGACATTAGCCAACAGTATTTATTATATGCTAGCAATATCATCTCATGACATGCAGCCATTTAAGTGGGGACAGAAGCCATTTAGAAGTGCTTTCCCTTCCTTTTGCTACTCCCTATCTCCAACATAGCCCAGCTGGATATTCAGTGCTTAATGACAAAGACAACCCTTGGCATAGGTTTCAAAGATTCACTCACAGCCAGTTGTTTGCTGATTCTTGTGCCACCAAGTTTAGGTTTCTAATTTTTTAGTCCCTACAGCTCATTCCCCTCGAATTCTTCTATTACCTTTACCAGTGAGGATGTAGTACTGAAAAGAGATCTGAAACCCACGTGTGAATTCGGGTCTGCAATAACTGGCAAACATTTAGCGAAGTACAGTTCACTTTTCTGGATCTCAGCTGGCTCGGTTTGAAGATCAGAAGGTTGAGCTGTTTTTGTCTTTGAAGCCCTGTCAAAATCTTAAAATTATCTACATAGGGTGTCAGTTGCCTGACTGCTCTAATTCCATAGATCCGAAAGTGTTCCATGTATGACGGCATTGCCCTTTGAATACTCTTACTATATCTAAGTTAACCACTTTTGTGTTTTGTCATTCCGAATTGACTGACTTCACTTATTTAACAAACATTTGTTAAGTTCCTACTACATTGTGGGCTTTCTAAATCCTGAGACATAGGGTGAGCAAATATGAGGCTTACAGTCTAGCATTAAAGACTAATAGCTATAATGCAATGCTTTAAACATCTTATCTAATTGAAGACAGAATTTGTATGTTGGCATTGTGATTATGTTACAGTTAGATGCAGAGAAAGGAATCTAAGAATATGTGTAAAATGTATACATGTATTTTGCTATACATTAATTTACTTATTAACAAAATATTTACTACCCATGCTTTGTTAAGGGTGGGAGACGCCAACCTTCTTGGTCTTGACTGTTTATTAGGGGAAAGAAAATCTAATGACAGTGAAGAGTGAAGACTGTCCTGACTGGGGAAGTACAGGAACTGGGAGGACCTGGACATTTGAGGATTTACATGTTGCCGCTTTTTAAATTTGCAAATAAATTATACTGATTTGAAATGACCTATAGTGATTTGAAATAGCTATAAATGTTACTAGGATATAAATAATTGAGAGACTGATGTGTGGAGAAAATCACTTTGCTGATTGTTCAGCGTCCTTATCTCAACTTGGGTTTGTTAGCCAGAAATCATCATCGCGAATACAATAATTTGTGTGATTAAACAACCAACCCAACCCTGGCCTCCAAAACAAAACAACAGCAACTTTTAAAAGTTGCTTCTTTGTGAAAAATAGCTCTGGAAAGAAAGCCATCTGTAGTGCTATAGGAGAATTTTTGAATCTAATGATTTGTATTTTTTTTTCAGAATATGTTTACTATTGGTTGATAAGTCTCCTTGACTTTAGAGTGGAGTTCCAAGCTTATGGCAAGGAATTTTTAGAGGAAGAAGCTCTAGGGATGGGGTGAAGAGAACCATGTAGATAAATTAGTAAGGAATTGGGATATCTTTCACTGGGCATGAAATAAAAGTATATTTTAATAATATATTTTATTAATTTTATAAATAAAGTATATTTTAATAATTTTAATAAATATACTTAATTTTAATAAATAAAGTATATTGTAATAATAATGATGGCTACCGTTTATTGAATGTTACATTATTCCACCAGGAAAATTACTAACATTAAATTCATTTTACATATTACATAGAAACATTGGTTCATAGAGATTAAGTTTTTACTCAAACTTAAATTATAAGAAAATGGCAAAAATCAGGATTACAATGTATGTCTGTCTAATTCCAAGCTGGCAGGATGCCATGCTATCTTTCCTTTAAAAAACAAAACAGAAATAATTTACTATTAAAATAAATCTAAGACTATAGAAAAAGTATGGATAAATATTTAAATGTAAAATTATCCTTGGTAATATAAAGGTGAAGTATAAAATATAAAAAATTTCAATGAAATATATTCATTTGATTTTTATTTTGTACATATTTGCAAGTTGATTACTTTCAATATCCTTTTGTTAGCATTTTTACCAATCACCACATTATTACTAATTGGACCATTTACTCCATTTTATTCTTTGTTCTAGATGAAGAATACTGCTTGTTAAAAATATTTTCATCAGCCTACTCTGGCAAAACCAAAACTCATAAAGGTTTGGGAAATGAGTAAAGGAAATAAATGTATATGTCATGGTGGTATTAGAGAAGAGGGAGATGCATTAGTTTTCTATTGTTGCTCTAAAAATTTATTTAAACTTAGTGGTTTAAAACAACATAAATTTATTATTTTATAGTTCTGGAGGTCAGAAGTACAACATTAGTCTTAAGGGGCTAAAATCGAGCTGTCAACAGGGCAGGTTCTTTCTGGAAGCGCCATAGGAAAATCCATTCCTTGCCTCTTCTGCCTTCAGGAGGCTGCTCATGACCTCTTCCTCCATCTTCAGAACCAGAATGCCTAGCATCTTCACCTCTCTCTGACCTATGCTTCCATCCTTACATCTTCTCTGTCTCACTCTGTTCTTCTTGCTTCCCTCTTACAAGGATTCTGGTGGTTACACTGAGCCCACCAAAGAATCCAGGATAATCTCCCCATCTTAAAATTCTTAATTCAAACACATCTGAAGTCCTTTTTGCCATGTAAGGTGGTATATTTACAGGGTCTGAGGATTAAGAGATGGCCTTCTTTGGGGGCCCATTATTCATACTAACACAGGTCATAATGTAATTGCCCTATAAAAAGTTGATATTGGTAAAAGCACTAGAAGTGATTAACCTTATGATTTCTTTCCAGGTAGACTTGTTAGGTAATTTGTATGACTTATTTAAAATTAGAGTAAGAATTACCATTTAACATTTACTCTACCTTTTTCAAAGTATACTGCATGATAAACACAGGAACTCAAATGGATTTAGAGGTTAAAGGAGTTGCTGCCACTTCTAGGAGCCAAATTCAGCCATTCTTTGGAAGAAAGAAGCCTCTACAAGTATGTGAGCTCTATATAATTTTCTTCTTTCAGGATGACTTATAAATAATTTTTTTACCTTTTCTTCATGTTTTATGACTACTTATATTCACAGATATTTAGGATCAACATTTCCTAGATTTGAAGAATGGAACCACCAAAATTGAAGATAATGATTACTTGAAAAATTGCCACTGCTTGAATTAGTTTTATTTTTTAAAATTAAACTTATTGTATTATTATTGTTATTTAAGAATATTTGTTTAAGGAAAATATAAAAAAAGAAAAATAGTAGAATGGAATTTTTACGGTTGCTACTAATATCACAAAAAAAGCACAAGTCAGATAACATTTCAGAAATAGGGTATAAGTGCTGATGGGTGAATTATTTTCTATTTTCATTAACTTGAAGTTTTCCTAAGACTCATATATATCTTCTATTTCATGGTGGCTAAGCTTGCTGTAATTTTTATGACTTGCAGTTTTTTTGGCAATAAGATTGAATGTTTACAAACACATACATGTTTGTTACTTTCTTTGTCAAACCCTTCACTGTCTTCCCATTACCTTAAAAACAAGGTCTAAGTTCCCTAACTTGTACTATAATGTAACAGCTTGGCCCTACCCCCCCTCACACTCTGGATTTTACCCCTTTCCAAATGCTAACTCTTATCTGGAGGCCTGTGCAGTACAAGTTGTTTCCTAGCTGAACCAATTTTCTTTCTTCTCTTTTCATCTAGCTAACTCCTCCTCATCTTTCAGAACTCCTGTTAAAGGTTGCCTTAAGAAAAAAACAAAACAAACAAACAAAAAAACAAACAAAAAAAAACAAGCTTCCTAAATTCCCTAGAGTAGGTTGGGCATACTGCTATGTAGTTGCTCTGTTATAGACTTTTTTTTCCCATTATTGTTTATTTGAGAGAAAGTCTTCTCCAGCAGAGTGCTATGTGGTTAGGGATTATCTGTCTTACTTGCCTTTTTATCTGTGTCTCAAGCACAGTAGGAAGGGGCTTAATAAGTATTTATTATATAGAATTTACTGAGAAAAATTATAATTAGCTTTATTGCATTGACTTATTGTGTATCTCTTAAAGTATAAAGGGTATATTCATATTTATACTGATTCAAAAAGTTTTTTTTTTAATTAAAGCAAAGGTGGACTTCTGAGTCATGGACAAACCAGAATTCTTGCCCACCAGTGTAAGTTACGTTTCTTCACATTTGGACTGTTTAATGGGCACATATATAACATACATTGACTAGTTAAAAAACAAAGCAAAATTATAAATGTAGCTATGATTGTGAACCACAGAAAAATCTATATGCATATGGATAGCCTGAAAATTACTATACCAAAATTAAAATAGCTGTTGTGATAAGATGGTAGAATTATAGGTAATACTTCTTTGGTTTTTTATTTTCCTTAATATGTTTTACATTTTCCTGAAAAAGTGAAAATATTTGTTTATTTGGAAAATTCAGCTATATGCATTCATTAAAGAGATGTGTAAATTTTTATCCTTGTATAATTCATTTAGTTGGCATCAATTTAAGGATAATTATGTCTGTGCTTTAATTTTGAGGAGTATGACAATTTTATGAATCTTAAAATTATTTTATTTTTGGTTTAGAGTATATTAATTTATGTTTTATGTTGCATGTTATTTTGACTTTTAAAATTTGGAATAATATAATTTTTATATTCTTTCAAGTATTTTAGATTACAGAGCTTTTTTAAAAATAGAAATTAAAAACTTAGTAATTTACTAAGCTGAACCACACAATATTGACATTTCTGAAGATCAAAATGAATAAACATCAACATTTATGTGGTTCTGTGTGATAGATTACCTGTATGCTCATCTTGACATAAAGAATAGAGTTAGGTGCAAGCACTAGATCCAAGATATCGAGTAAGTAACAATGGCTGTGTCAGTTGTGTGCAGAGAAAAGTTTAAGGACTGATTTTCTGAAGGTGTATTATAAGTTTATTGTAAATTTTACTTGTTTATTATAAAGAAATTTGAGCATATATTAAGTTGATTATAGCTTTTACTGATATAAAGGATGTGTAGCAATCAATTTACAAATATTAATCAAATACATAGTCTCTCTCTCGTAGATTCCATGTAGCCAATAGATTTTCACAGAATTGTCTCTTTGTTTTGTTGCTGAACTCTGTATCTCTAGCTAACCTATGGTTGCAACTGATGAACTAGTGTAGTTCCAACATGAATATTGGTTAATATTTTTATTTACTTTAAAAAGTGACATGAGTGATTTCTTGGCTGAGTCAAATAATAGTTTTCAATATAAAACCATGTTTCTTCAGTGTATTTTGGGGCTATTCACTGTGTGACAGGTATAGACATGATATAATTTTAGGTTGAATCTGCATTATTAACATTTTCTCCACCACTTGTTAAAGTTTCAGAAATGAACCAAATATTAAACCAAGTCCTATTTGTAGCATTTGCCAATTTCAGTGTAAATAATCCCATCAAGGCTGTTTCAGTGTGCCTATATGACATCACTAAGCACAGCATTGGAAAGAGATGCACACTATTACACTACCATAGAGACGGGATAAACATAGATACATAGATAATCTCTAGAGCACAGATAATAGTGAAGTACAGTGAAATCATCAGGAAGTGATGAATTTTGAGTATTTATTTATTTATTTGTTTATTTTGAGACAGAGTTTCACTCTTGTTGCCCAGACTGGAGTGCAATGGCGCAATCTCGGCTCACCACAACCTCTGCCTCCTAGGTTCAAGTGATTCTCCTGCCTTAGCCTCCCCAGTAGCTGGGATTACAGGCATGTGTCACCACGCCTGGCTTGTTTTGTATTTTTAGTAGAGACAGAGTTTCTCCATGTTGGTCAGGCTGGTCTCGATCTCCCGACCTCAGGTGATCTGCCTGCCTCGGCCTCCCAAAGTGCTGGGATTACAGGCATAAGCCACTGCGCCCGGCCAAGTATTTATTTAATATAATTTAATTTAATTATAAATTTATATGTATTTTTAATGATGGATGTGTTTAACAACCAGTTAAAAATTACTGAACATTTAACAAAAGCCTATCACAAGCCAGTAGAAGCCATGGCACTATTGGTTTCAGTGTACCTATTTATAAAACATGTAACATATAAGATTTGCATTTATTAAAGTTTCATGTTAAAAAGTTACGGGATACATAGATTATGTCTTTCAGGGTCCCACGACTTGATTTGGGAAGCCTTGTTGACTCTGATGATGAGGTAATTTTTATTTAGTATTTAATATAATAAACATTAAAACACAATATTACACATAGCATATAAGAAATATCATTAACTTTATTTTTTAGGACAATTTTTCATATATTCCACTTAGTACAGCAAACCTGCCAAATTCATCTTCTACTCTTGGCTGGGTCACACCATGTCAAACTCCATATACTCAGTATCATCTAAATAAATTGGTTAGTATTTATTTGCTTATCAATTTTCAGAATTTTATTCTAAAATATTTATTATGTTCAGTCTATGTTTTGCCAAGTTTAAATATTTTATGTATTTAAATACCAAACCATAAGGTTGGTGAAATAATTTTTACTTGTTTTACATTTTGTCGCACATGGAAATTGGTATTTTAAAATTTTTAAATGAAATTGGTAAAGTACACATATATCCTAATATGGAATTGAGGAATTTTAAAAATATGGCAAGCTCTTAGATCAGATCTTGCTGCTTAAGCAATGTAAGACTGGTCTCTTGGAAACTGATTCATGCTTTAGGCTGCTGGGATACTATGGAGTAAGTAGCTATGCTCATTCCAGATTGTCTCCTTGAGACATGTTTATGCTTCAAACATATCTAGTGTTTTGCTCACAATTTGAATATAGATTCTGACTAGTATAGGTGTAGGGCTTTTCTGTTTTTGTTAGTCTTTTCATACAGCTGACTCTATTCATGTTCTTAGTTTCATTTTGGAAAATTGCATAAATAATACCCTGAAGCTTTGCTTCATCCTTCTCCTGTGGGTTAGACATGACTATCCTCAACACTTTTCAAGGGTTGGACTGGCTTTATAAAAAGCTCGTTTTGGAGTGCCTGTCCCTCCCTAGGTCAATACAATATGCCCTTGTATTTGTATAGCACTTCTTTTAGGTTTCTCTTATCCACTGACTCTTATTATCTCTCACTCGCATGGAAATGTGGTAGGGAACCAAATAATATTTCGGTCACTGTAAAGATAGTGGGAAAACAGAATGAAGGTTTCTGTAAGCACGTACTTTACTGAGTGGCAGCAAAATGGTTCAAAATATTTTTTAAGTAAAACTTTTATTTCCTTAATGCAAATTCAAATGAGGACATTTGTTTATTTTTGGTTTAAGAGAAAAACAAATTTTATTTGCAAATATTTCCATGTTTGCAAATAGATAGAATATATTGATATTCTAGAAATGACAACCAATCCTTCTCAGTATTAATGATCTTCAATTGCTCTATCTATTATGAAAAAAATGATTTACAGTGAAGTTCTTCTGGGGCAGAAGAAAAGCTTTATCTAAAACTCCTAAGAAGAAAGATAAGTCATTTTTTCTCCTCTTAAATGGATCTTCAGCTAGGAAACAAGGTATAAGCTTACTGGTATTTAAGGTAAGTGCCCATTCCGAGCAGTTCTGTCTGCTCTGATTGGTCAGTGATGCTGTCTGTACCAGTTGAATGTCTTAAATACCATCTCTGCTTAGAACATTGACTATAATGGTCATTTTTAAGGAATGGATGCTAAGGTAAGAGGTAAACCTGTTAATGCCAATAAGGAAAATTAATACTTTTTTTTTCTGATAGCATGCTTTTTTCTTTTTACCTATAGGATCAGAACATAATACCTGAAAATTTGCCAGCACCAACAGACAAATGTAAACTAAAATATCAGCAATGTAAAACTGAAATTAAAGAGGGCTATAAGCAGTATAGTCAGAGAAATGCAGAAAATACAAAATCAAATGTTACACATAAACAGTCTCCAAGAAACAAGATAGATGAAAAGGTAATGTATGAGGCTTTAAAAAATTCTAATGACATTTAAAGAAAACTGCACATATTACAGAAATCTCTTTTTGTGTGACATATCTTGCTATTAGTCATAATAAGTATAATAGCTAACATTTATTTCTGCATATCAAGGACTGTTGTAAATATTTTACTTACATTGACTAGTTTGTTTTTCACAACAAATTTAAAGGGTTATTGTCATCATTTTCTGACAAAAAAGTTATAGCCATATAGTTTTGTCACCTTTTCTCTGTTAGAAGTTTTTCACGTACCTTGGGATTAGAAATAAGACAGTATTATGTATTTTGTTGACGTAGCTGTCTTGAACTCAGTTGGTCTGACAGTCTAAATTTTAAAATTGATAAGTGATTTGAGACTTTATGGTGATCCTGGTTTGTGCAAAAACTACCATCACTTCATTACTGTCTTTTGTCTCATTATGGGAAATGATTTTTTAACATCATGTGTTGCTGAAATTGTTATGTTTTTATGTAATATTAGGTATAAATTCACTATTAATGAATATAATAATAAATTAAACATAGTAATTGTAATGCTTTCATAATCATACAGAAAAAGTCAATCTTGATTTTTAGAAGGAATAATTTGAAAAACATGATACTAGTGGCCATAAAGAAGATAATTTTTAATTTTAATTTTAATAGAATTTTTAATTCAGTTAACTTTCTATAAGAGTAATGTGTTTCCAGGGACGTTTTAATGTTGTATTTGCTTAGCATTTTCCTGTAGGTAAATAATAATAAATTTATAAGTGGGTATGACATTTCAGCTATTTTTTAATCCATGTAGGAACTATCTAGAATTAAATAAATCACACAGTGATTAGCTGAAAGAGTAACAAAATTAATGGGATTATTTGATCTTTCTTATTTTGAAAACATTTTTCCAGACCCAAATATAAACACAGAAATATGATAATCTGGTGTCTATAATAGTAGGCAAAATAATTTCATAACCTTTTAGCATCTCACCATGTATTGTTTGCAGGATATACCAAATGATATTTAGATCACTGTACAGATGTTGGGAAAACGGAATGAAGGTTTCTGTAAGCACATGCCTTACTGAGTGGCAGCAAAATTGTTCAAAATATTTTTTAAGTAAAACTTTTATTTCCTTGAATGCAAATTCAAATGAGGACTTTTTTTACTTTTGGTTTAAGAGAAAAACAAATTTTATTTGCAGATATTTCCATAAAATTGGTAAGTATATAATAAGAATAAAGAGCTTTATAGAAGCCAATATACACATAAATTCTTCTGGAAAATATGCTATTTTGCCACTGATTTTTTAGAATCTATATTAAAGGTGTGAAATTATTAAGTTTAATATGTTTTTAGTGGTCTTATAGAAGAACTTCTAGTTAAAAAGCATTTCTGTAGATTCTCTGTATAATAATTTTGTACTTAAGGGGTTTGAGGAACTTACTTGATATCTTTTCAAATGTATACCATTATGAGAATCAAAACTGCTATATAAATGGCCTAGTAGTAAATTCTGTTACAATTACATGAATTAACACTAGTAATCTCTGGAAACAGAAGACATCCCTGATATCAGAAATATAAGCCCCTCTTTAAAGCAGAGATCAACATGTAAATTGATTCTCTTTACTGGTAAAGCAAAGCTAAAATTAGAAATATTTAGGATCCAGGGCAAGAACTAAAGGCTATCATTGCTAACTAATCAGTATGATACATGAGTCAACTGATAATCAGTTGAACTGCAAAATAGAAGTTTGACTCTACTTGATTCTTGTCTTCGTTCATTTTGTGTTGCTATAAAGAAATACCCGAGGCTGGGTAATGTATAAAGAAAGAAGGGTTTATTTGGCTTCATGAGTCTGTTGGCTAGAAAGTTGAAGATTAGGCACTTGCTAAGGGCTTCAGGTTGCTTTTACTTATGACGGAAGATCAAGGGAAGCCAGCATGTGCAGAGATCACATAGCAACATAGGAGGCAAGAGAGCATGCGAAGGTGCCAGGCTCTTTTGAACAACCAGCACTCTTGGGAAATAATAGAATGAAAACTCACTCGCCTCCAAGGGGACAACACTGATCTATTCACGAGAGATCGACCTCCATGACCCAAACACCACTCCAACATTGGGGATTAAATTTCAACATGAGGCTTAGAGGGGACAAACATCCAAACCATGGCAATTCTAATGGTAAATTTCCTTTGCTGTGTTTTCCTTCCACTTACTATAAAAGGTGATAAATCTCTTGTTGTCAGATTGTTTTGTTACCTAAAATGCAAACTTATGTGTACATATATATTTTTAAAATAATGAGACATCTTGAAATTAAACATGAAAATCATTAAACTGCAATTTTGTAGAAAATAATCTTTATTTCCTAATTGTACCTATCATTATTCATTTCAAATACCTCTTTTTTCACTCTAAAAAACTTTTAGTTTTAGAAATGATCAATATAATTTATTCATTTATTATTTATTCTTTCAACACATAGTTACTGAATGCTTAACTTTATGCAATACCCCTGTCCAGGCACTGGGGGTAAGTCAGTGAATAAAACAGACAAAAATTTCTGCCTCTAAAGAGCTTATATCCTAATGGAAGGAAATGGCAAGGAGAAAAAAAAAATCAATCAATGGAATGATTAATCAGTCAACCCAGCTTGTATGACACATGGTGAAAAGTGTGGTGTATAGAAGGGATCTAGGAAAGTCAGGGCTTTGGGTATGGGATAGCAGCTTGTATAGGATCACAGGGGAGACCTTTAGATAAGATAGCATTTTAGCATACACCTGAGGAGCAGGCTAGTCAAGAGAAACTCTGTGTCATGAAGTAGGAGTGTTTAAGAAATATTGAGGAGGACAGTGTGGTCAAAGGAGGGAGAGCAAGGGAGAGAAGGAAGGAGGTTGGTAAGAGAGTTAAAGGGAGTTTGGGAGGCAGATCAGGGACGCCACGCAAGCCAAGGGAGGACTTTGCCTTTTTCTGTGAGGCAGAAAGCTACTTCGTTCTTTTGAGGATGGGCTTTATTGAGAATAGGACAAAGATAAAAGCAGGAAGACCTTTGAGGAGACTGTCACAATAATCCAGGCAAAATTTGACGATGATAGCTTGGACCTAGGTGATGGTAGCTTCAGACTTGGAACTTCGTAGTGCCTCACAAAGTCATATTGTTGACAGATTCTGAAGGTAGGGCTAAGAAGATTTTTGAATGGATTGGTTATAGACTTGAGAGAAAGGGAAGACCGAGAATGACTCTACAAGGATGAATGTGCAGGACATTAAACCAGGCACAGAAAGACAAATACTCTATGTTTTCACTTATATGTGGACTCTAAAATAGTTGAACCCACAGAAGCAGAGAGTAAAATATTGGTTGCCAGGGACTCGGGGGGAGGGGTTGGGAAAATGGGGACTTGGTGAACAGATGTGAACTTTCAGTTATAAGATAAATAAGTTCTGAGGAACTACTGTATTTGTGGTGATTATAGTTAATCATACTGTACTGTATTTTTTTTCCTAGAAATTTGATAAGAAGGCAGATTTTAAATGTCTTAATGACACACACACACATATACGCAGACAAATACAAATGGTAACTATGTGTGGTGATGGATGTATTAATTAATTTGATTGTGATAATGATTACATAATCTATATGTATATCAAATCATCATACTGTACACATTGCATATTTACAATTTTTAATGTCAGTTAAATATTTTAACATAAAAAAACAATGGATCTAAGGCTTTTGGCCTAAGAGGGTTACCATTAACTGGAGGTAGGGGAAGACTGTAAGGAAGTCTGATTTTGGAAGGTTGAATTTGAAATATTAAGTGGAAATATCAGTTTTCCTTTTGTAAAAGGTTGAAAACAAGCTGACACAAAATAAAATTATTTCGAAAGTGTTTTCAACCTGAACAAAATACAATGCTTTGCTTATATTTAAATATATGCATTAAATTAATCTGCTTAATTTACCTATAAATGCTAAGCATCTTTTTGGTGCCTGTTTAAATAAATCGCTATTTAGAAAGAAGTATATTAGTGGGTAAATAAATAAAATGATAAAGTATCTTCATAAATTGATTTTTAAATACCTAAGCGAGATTCATTATTCATTTATTGAATAAATATTTATCGAGTGCTCACTTTGTGTTATCCTGTTCTGCCACCAGCGATACAGCAATAAAAATGACAGACAAGGTTCCTGCTTTCATGGAACTTACATTAGGAGAGGCAAGCAATAAATCCTAAATATATATAACAAAATTTTATATAGCAATCAAAGGTCATAAAGACAGAGAGGAGTATTAAGATAGAGTGTGACCTTTCAAGGAAGATCTAAAGTAAGAATAAGCCCTGGGGGGAAGAAATCTTATAATCTATTAAGTTTTTGAAAAGTTGCTATTTTATTGGAAACTTTTTTTTGTTTTGCTGGGGTAGCGTAAACGCATAGTCAAAGAACAATTTGGTATTTATCTCTTTAGCATCCCAAAGAATCTTTTACCTCAAAGGTTACACTCATCTTTTAGTATTTTATTTCTGAATTTAATTTTATAATGGAGTAGACATGCCCACATTTATTAATTTTTCAAAGATTCAAATTGGACAATAATAATTATAATAGCTGCTAACTTTTATTTAATGCTTACTATGTCAAGTAGTTTTTATAAAGTGTTGGACATGTATATCTCTTAATCCTTTTTGTTTCTGGGGAAGTAGTTCCTATTATTAATTCGCATTTTATCTATAAGTCACCTGAGGCACAGAGAGGTCACCTAGCGGGCAAGTGGAAGAGCTGGATTCAAATATAAGCAATCTGATTTTCAGAGCCTGTACTTTTAACTGTTGTACAAATAGTCACTGAGATATTCCGTAGTTATCTATTCCCATATTTTGTTAAAAACAAACATTCTAAATATGTGTATGATGCTTCATTTATTTCTTTCATGCATAGTGTGTGCAAGATGAAGAAGCCAACACAGATGACCTTACGACTCTGGATAGGAAAGCCATCTTACAGCAAGGTTATGCAGACAACTCTTGCGATAAACAACAGAGGGCAAGAAAATTGGATGCAGTAAGTTGTCAGCATTTTTACTTATTTGGTGAGCCATTAATCTTATTTGCTTTCTAAGATTTTAAAGACTGAATGGAATAAATAATTGCAACAGTTGAATTTGAACTCGGGTGAATATTCATTAATGGAAAATTGAGTCCTCATTTTTATAAATGATTGAATTGTATTTGGTATATATTCTGTAAAAAAATTGTCTGGAATCTTTAGGTGTTTGAAAAATTTAGTTTATACTGTTCAAAATGTGAGTTGGCTGCTATTTATGTTAGTGAGTTTATTTGGTGTCACCCCCTCCCCCAAAAAAGCAGCCTGGTTATTTTTTTGAAGTAATGAGCTCCTAACATTAGATAAATTCAGGCCAGTTAAGGAAATTCCAGAAATAAGTTATTTTTCTTTTTTAGGAAAAGAAACTCCAGATGCTCAATATTAACTTTAAATTATGTCTTTTACAGAATCAATTAGGTTGGCAAGTATGGTTTAGACCAGTTCTGGCACAAACAGATAATTAAAACATTTCTGTAATGTTCTGGGGTAAGGGACCAAGCTGCTTGGAGTTGGAGGTCACTGACCACCCCAGAAACCCAAGTGATTAATGTCTTAGGCATACTTATAACAGATTGTTGGAATGCCAGTGTGGTGGATCACAAGTTGGGAAAACTCTGGTTTCAATAGCATAAATAGTAACAAAGCAATATGGATTTAGTTAGTTACATTACTATTATCATTGAGTGGCAATTCAATATATATTTTATTTGGGTCACAATCATCCAGAATCAATTATGTTCTGAATTAACAGTAATATATAATCAATCTCTGGACTACGTGAACTGATTTTCTGTGGATGTCCCAAGTTGCAAATTTGTGAGTTCTTTTACTTAAACCACATGCACATTATTTTTTTGGTGCCTATTATTACTTGGATATTTATGTTTAATAGAATGAATATTATCAGGATTATCCTAAAAATTAAAAAAGCTACTTTATAAGGAAAATAGTGTTTCAATTCAGGCTTATTTTGATATATCCCTGAAGTTATATTTGAAATGGGTATTGCAATAATTAAGGCTCATTGGGTATTGTTCTTGATGTAATTCAAAGCAATCTGGATGTTAATGGATTTCTTTTCCTTACAACTACATTATTAGGAGCAATGTATCTAAATTCATTATCAAGTTTTATTTTATTTTGATAGTACTCATTTAACTGTCTCCTCCTTCCCCTAAGGAAACGTTTACATGAGTAAGCTTTCAGGGCATCTGAAATTAGCACCTATTTGTTTTAAAATGTAGGTGAAAACTTCTTTATTTAATTTTAAACTACTTAAGTGACAATAGAAGCAGTGAAACTACGGATTTTGTGTCCATCTCATCTAGCTCCTTTGTCATTTTGTAGTGTTGACAGATCCTTCCATCAGTGTCACTTCTGCTTGTAATCTGCTTTATGTTTACACAGATCTCTAAATCAGTGTGCCTACGGGTTCTAACCTTTCCTACAAAGTATAAACCACCACAAGCTTCAACACTGAAGATGGGCTTTCTGCATGGGCTCTATGGTGTTAATTAATCTCCCCTCTTTGGTTTCTGTCTGGGTTTTACATCTGTGTTCAGCCGATGTGGATCTTTTCTGTGTATAATTTTAATGTTTTAGTCAGTGTCCACTTTATGAATCACTCTTAGATATTAAAAAAATACCTTGCTTTACTTTGAGGTTGTGCTAATTTTTAAACATTTTAATTGCTGTTTTAAATTTATTACTAAATAAAAATCTTATAAAGCATCATGAGCTTAGAGAGTGACACAAGATGTATTAAATAACATAAGCTTTATATAGGACATATTAAATGTGTAAACTACACATTTTGAATTTCTACCAAACCAAAAAACTAGATTCAGTGTAGGCTAAATAATATTTAAATAATGTTAAATAACAGTGTTTAATAATAATTTAAACATTATCAATAAATGAAAGTGTTAAATAACCTACATTATGTAGCCTATAATATAGGCTAAATAAGAGTGTTATTTAACCTACGTTAAATTTAGTTTTAACATTCTTATTAAATTTTGGTTTAACATTATTATTAAAACTAAATTTAGGCTGGCCATGGTGGCTCATACCTATAGTCCCAGCACTTTGGGAGGCAGAGGCTGGTGGAGCACTTGAGACCAGGAGTTCGAGACCAGCCTGGCCAACATGGTAAAACCCCGTCTCTACTAAAAATACAAAAGTTAACCAGCCGTGGTGGCATACACCTGTAGTCCCAGTTACTCGGGAAGTTGAGGCATGAGAATCACTTGAATCTGGGAGGCGGAGGTTGCAGTGAGCTGTGGTAGTGCCACTGCACTCCAGCCTGGGCAACATAGCAAGAGCCTGTCTCAAAAAAAGCCAAAAAAACTAAATTTAGTGTAGGCTAAATAGCATTTAAATAATTGTGCCCAACTTTTCCGATTTTCTTACAAGTTTTTACTTTTTGTTTTTATGATATGTCTTTAGACATTCTTATTTGATATTTTGTCTCAATTTTAAATAAAGCACTTTTTCTAAGGTTACAAAGCCTCTATCTTAATTTCATTTATTGGAGTGATCAATGGGGATGACAGTAATTTACATTCTAAAAATAGAACAAGCTTTATTTTGACCTCTTAATTTTTTAACCTCTTTTATTTACCTTTCTAAAGATACATTTTAGTCATTATAGTTGCAGGATAATATAATTTGAATTAAATGATTACCAGTATTTCAGTTAGATATGACCTAAAAAATAGTAAAAATAGTTTAAGAGGAATTGGAAAAGTGAAAAATAGTATTAAGAAAGCTTAATCAAGCTAGTAATTGAGAAAAGTTTATTAAATATTATTGATGCATTATATGCAGAGAAAATATTATACTTTTGATGAGGAGAGTTTTTGTTTGTTTTTCCTTGTTTTGGATATTTTATGAAAGGTCAAACAATTCAAACTCAGTTTTGCCTTCTTTTGCTATGAATAGTGTTAGACGAAGCTTATTTTGTGTCAGTGTTGGTAGCCTTCTTGGAGCAGGTTAAGATGCCTTTTGCAGGACATCTCTTGAGGGGAGGAATAGAGTGGAAGGATGCCATAGTCTCTTTCTCCTTTAGTCTGCTCCATAAAATGCAAAGGCAGCTCATGAAAATTCTGATGATTTTTACTGAAATTTAAGTGTATTATTTCTTAGAAAATAAATGATATTTGTAGATTAAATGATTGAAATTTAAATTTAGTAATGATGGAAAGTAATCTATAATCTATAATAGTAATCTATTTCCATCTATATCTAAGACGGAAATCAGAGATATTTAATTTATGTTTTAGAACTTTTGTGTTAAGTATTGTATGGTTCTGCTTTATGGATGGTGAAGTTGTCTTTATTTAATCTTCCCAGGAAATTGTGGCTGCAGAGAAGAAGAAACAGATTGTTGCAGAGCAAGTGATGATAGACCACTTATCTAGGTGAGAATTAGCAACTGGTAATAGAAATCAATTCAGAAAGTTTTCATTAAATTTATTTTCATGCATGACATTCATATCCTTGGTCAATTAAAGGGTGGCTAACTCAGAGGTTCCCAAACTTTCTCTGTTTACTGCACCGTTAGTGTTTTAGTCATTTTTTTTCACAGCACTCTTAGACGAATAGAAATACCTAACAGTTCTATTTGTTAAATATTTTTCTCTAAACAACTTAATAAATATTTATTTCCTAACAACTAATGACCATTTAAAAAAATAATACACATAAATTGAAAGAAGATATCCTTACTTTATTCTTACTAAGGATCTGTATGCATCTTATGGGCACTGCACAGTGTCTCAAATCCTAGAATCATTTACAATGCTGCCACTTTCACTTTATATTCCATATTGATTTTCACCTGATATTTGCTTTTTATCATAGCAACTATAGAAAACTCAGCTCTGCAAAGATGTAACATCATTGAAGGAGTATAGTGTGCTGTCTTGTTGAAACTGTGAACTACCCTGAGGCTGAACTAGTAGTTTACTTGATGTGCAAGTGATGTCAAGTATCACTGAGTTTCCCTCAAAAATTAAAAATATCCCATAGTACCCCTGTGAGTTCACTGTGGTACCTCAGGGTTCCTTGGTGCAGTTCAAGAACTGTGAGACTGTTAAGAATTTTAAAACCCCTTAGAAAACTAAAGTTTTAACATATGCAGTGCTGAATTGCTTGATAATATGGAACTATGCTAGAATTTCTGAAGAGGTTGGAATAATCTACTTCAAGGAAAAAGTAAGACTTAGCTTTGAAAAAACTGTTTAGTTGTGTGGCAGAAAGAATGCATGACAGAAATAATGGTGGCTGTTTCTACATGCATGTTTTTCAGTAAATTCTTTGAAATAATTATACCTAGAGTCTCCCATGTCCCTCCTTCCATTGTCTCATGAACTTAGTGTTTTCACCTCCACCATCCATGCCTCCAACAACTTTTTTCCATGAGTAGTGACATCCATATTGCTAGACTAATGATTTCTCAGTTCTCGTTTACTTGACCCATCTGCAGCAGTTGTCTCATTTGAAACCTTATTTTCTTTGAGGCAGGTTTTTTTTTTTTTTTTTGTTTTTTTTTTTGTTTTTTTTTTTCCTGCATGGCTTCCTGCACGTGACACGTGACTGTTCTCCTACCTTTCTCCCCTTCTCAGAATCTCTCCTGGTTCTTCTTCATCTTCCCTACGTGGGTGTGCCCAACAGCTCAGTTATTGGACCTCTTTTGTGTTTGCTTTTTAAGTGATCTCATCCAGTATCATGCCTTTAAAAACCAGCTATATTCTGATGCTTCTCTAAGATTTCAATTTAACTTTCTCCAATCTGGGTGTCTGAAATTTTATTGCCCTCTCTTCCTCCATGACCAAATCTTTAATTTTCCTCCATAGTAACTCAATTCTTCATGTTACTAAGACCTAAAATCCTGGTGATATTTTGATCCCTTTCTTTCTCTCAAATACTATATCCAGCTTGTCAACAAACATGCTCAGTCCTGCTATCAACATAGATTTACTCCCTCTGCTGCCACCATCCTGTTCAAACTTATTTTGTGTGTCTCCTGGATTATTTCAGGGACTGCTTAACTGGCCTCATTGTTTCTGCATTTGCCTCTTACTGGTTTATTTTCAACCCGGCACCCCGTAGTTAATCCATTAAAAGGCAAGCCAGATAAAACCTTCCAGGAATTTCTCATTTTAATCATAGTGAAGCCTACGAGGCTCACGTATTAATTATGTGTCACCACAAAACTCAGTAGCTTAAAAGAACAGTAATTTTTGCTCATGTGTCTTTAGGTTAGCTATCAAGGCTTGCCATGGCTGGAAGGGCCTTACTTTTTATTTTGACCAGTTGTATATGAGCAAAAGCAATGGTCTTAGGTTTGATCTTAGGCTTTAAATGATCTCATGTGTTTCCATTTGCCCTTTAGTGCTTCTGCTACCTTTGAGAGAAGAACACTGCTTGGCTAGCCTGGTAGTCTCAAGAAAAAGGTCCTTCTACAAATGCCACTGAGCTACTTAGCTGAAACCATCCTAGATAAACAGATTTCCAACCAATCCGCATTTGCATGACTTAGTTCAGTTGAGATTAGCAGAGTCGTATAACTGTGTGTAACTGACCAAAGCAAGTCAAAAGCTCAAGGTCAAGGGGTGAGAAAGTGCATACCACCTTTAATGAGGCCATAGCAAGGAAATGGATCAGGATTACTAAAAAATTCAGGCCAATAACACAGTCTATCCAAGCCCACCATTGGACCTTGGACCTTGGACTTCTCTCCCTCTTACCTATTCTCCTCTAGCCATTTGACTTATCCCTGTTCTGGAACATACCAGGTTCCATTCCTGTCTTAGGTACTTTGCATTTATTTTCCCCTCTTCTTGGAATGCCTTTTCCCCAGAAATTTATATGTCTGCTTACTCATTTTAGCTCATATCTTTACTTAGAAGTCACCTTGGTGAGGCCTACTTTGGCCTTACCATAAATAAACCATAAATACATTTAAATAAATAAATTGACCATAAATAAATTTATGATGCCTTTCTCAAAACTTTGTATCTTCTTACCATTTCTTTTTTTCTTCCATAGGGGCATGTAATTCATGTTGTATTTTCTCTGTTTATCATGTTAATTATCTTTCAGCCTCTTCAGAATGTGAGCTTCATGAGGGCAGAGCACTTTGGAAGTTTTGCTCACTATTACACTCCCATTGCCTAGTCTAGTAGCTGTATAGTAAAACTTGTTGAATAGGTAAATGAATGAATGAACTGGAAAAGAGGACTTAAATGCAGTCAGCAGAATTTGGTTTTAGGTTTAGCTATGTGACTAATTTGCTGTTTGAGGTTTCATATTTTCCTTCTCTATGTCTTGATTTTTGCTTCTGCCAAATTAACATTAAGATTTCTTATAACTCTAACATTCTGTGTATGTATATTTAACACAGAACTGATAAATAAAGTGTGAGAATAGAATAGGTGCCACTTTTTTATAAATGCCAGCCTTTTTCATTTGGGGGTTTAAAAAATATCTTAATGCTCAATTTAAAAAGAAGATTTAGTTCCTAACTTGGCACACAAATGAACAGAATCTACAGTATATGGTAGAGATGACTAAAGCTTTTCCTGAATGTTCCAGCAATTGAAATAACTCAATAAATTCATAAGTTCTTCTATCTTTGAATTGTTGTTTCATTTTCATAGTTTTGAAGGTTCATGATACCCTTTAAAAAATGTCTACTCATTTATTCTTTTATCCAGTTAATCATCAAATTTATTCAGACTTAGGGTATTGTCAGGCAAGTAGGAAAAGCCAGAGAGGGCAAGATTGTTAAAAGGTGTGTACAGGATTATATTTTGATGAATCATGGAACCCAACCTGGTTAAGGAGGAAAGTAAGTGTTACTGGATGGTGCCGTGTAGTTCCAGGTTCTTGGTGTCCTGAACAAAGAACTGGACGAGACACACGCAGATAGCGAAGCAAAGCAGCAGAAGTGTATTAAGTGAAATATTACACTCTTGGAGTGGGGGAGCGGACTGAGCTCTGTGAGATGAAATCTACCTTAGTTTGGTACTTTGGGTCCTTTTATGTGTTTTTTTTGTTTTCTTCTCTTCCCAAGGATGCCTAATCTCTAGCCCGTGTCTGCCTTTTGATTGATAGATGCTGCTTAGTTAATTTGGCCCTTGTGTGCTTGTGTGTCATCTCCATCCCATAATTCTAAGTACATGCGTGATATGCAGTCCATATGCATGAACCTTAAGTAGCTAATTACCATATTGGGTCATTTTAAGCATACTTCTTTTTAATGAGCATGCCCATCTCTGAGGAGCTGCCCCTGACAGGTTTGGTCCAAACGTAGCTGGCCATGGGGGCTCCTTACCCCCTTTTTTTTTTTTTTTTTTTTTGAGACCGAGTCTCGCTCTGTCGCCCAGGCTGGAGTGTAGTGGTGTGATCTCGGCTCACTGCAAGCGCCTTACTCATTTTTTTTAATCTCACTTTTGTTTTGGCTGCTGAACCTCTGCTTCTTATCTCGCTTCTTGCTCAGTCACCCCTTCACCTTGTTTCTGCTCTCATGCTTTTACTCATTCTGTTCTTTATCCAACTTTTAATTCCTTTTGCTATTTTCCTGCCTCATTTCCCCTATTTTCCTGCCTCATAAGGATATGAGGATAACCTGTCATTCTTACCCTTAAAATAATATTAATAACAACAATAACAAATCAAAACTATTACCAGTGGAGGGTGTCCAGGTTCTTTGCACTTTGAACAAAGAATTGGACAAAACACAAAAGCAAAGCAAGGAAAGGATGACGCAACAAAAGCAGAGATTTATTAAAAATGAAAGTATACTCCACAGGGTGGGAGCAGCCCACGCAAGTGGCTCAAGGGCCTGATTGCAGAATTTTCTGGGGCTTAAATACCCTCTAGAGGTTTCCCATTGGTTACTTGGTGTACATGTAAATGTATGTAATGACAAATACATACATACATTTCTTTCTACTTTATCTATTTACATACTTTGTCTACTTTGTCTATGTAAATGAAGAAGTGGCCTGCAATCAGTCTAATTGGTTGTGGAAAGTGACCAATCAGAAGCTGAAGTGAAGTTACAAAGTTGCACCCTATGCAAACATCTGATTGGTCATGGAAAGTGACCAATCAGAGGCTGAAGGGAGTTACAAAGTTAGCCTTCTATGCAAATTTAGACTTGGCCCACAACCATCCTGATTGGTCTTGGGAGGGGACCAATCAGGTATTTTCAATTTTTCATCTGCCACACAGGAAAAGGGGGTGGTTGCAAAGGGAGTAGCCTCTGGTCCTGTTGTTACTTGGGTGTGGAAAGTTGGGATTTTCCTTTTGATTTAGTTCTAGGAAGTCAGTGTGAATGGACCTTAGGTTTCCTGCCTCCAGACCCTATTCTTCTGCCTTAAAAACACAATGACACCTATGTTCCTTATATTATTAATTGAATCTCATTTCACATTGTTCAGTTACTATAGATCTTTCTACTTGGTGACCTCAAATCCAGTTAGTTTTCTAGTTCTGTTGGTGTTTCTTGAATTTGTTCTTTCTACTTTGTCTATTTATTTACTTATTATTATATTTTGTTTGTGTTCTCTTGTATTTATGTATTTTATAGCTTTGGGGTACATGAGATAATTTAACAATATAATTTGTAAAGATCAAGTCAGTGTACTTGGAATATCCATAACCTTAAATATTTGTCTTTTCTGTATGTTAGAAACATTTGAATTATTATCTCCTAGCTACTTTAAAATGTACTATATATTATTGTAACTATAGTCACCCTACTGATCTATGGAACACTGGATCTTTTTTCCTTGATCAAACTGTGTGTTTACTGCCACCTTAGTGCAGACCCTTACTATCACTTTTCTAGCCCATTGCAATGCCACCTGATGGGTTATCATGCCTCTATATTTATTCCTATTCAGTAAAATATGCAGTAAAAGGGGAATTCGGAGGCAAAGCCTCAACTATTGAGTGCTTCTATAATACTTAGTAGATTATAGGTACTCTCCTAAACAATATGTATATGTTAACTAATTTATTTAATCTTCACAGCCTTTCTGTGTGGGAGACACCAATATTCTTTCTTTTATTAATGAGAAAACTTTGGCCCAGAGCCAAATGACCAGATAGGGCTACACAGCTAATTATCGCGGCAGGCAAGGATTGAATCCAGGCAGTCTAGTTGCAGAGTCTGTACTCTCCTCCATTACAATGTGTTCAGTCCTCAGGTGTGTCCTCACTGTGCTGTCTACTCCTGTGGCCGTACACATATTGTTCCTCTGCTTGTGGTACCCTTACTCCTTCTCCTCTGAGTGCTAACTTGTAGTCAATTTTTTTTTTGGATTATATCACAAGAATCTTTAATGTTTACTTTAACATTGACTCCTGGTGGGGTTGAAAATGTGTTTAGTAAAGTGTGCCAAGTGCCCACATTGAGGCCAGTTCCGTTCAAATCAGTTCACTCTGCGAGGATGTTTTCTGTGCCCAGCAAGGTCATGAAGAGAGGGGCCTTGACTTTTCTCTTGGTTAGGCCAGCTTTGCTGGTGAGTTCTTCCAAACTTTCCAGGAGCAGCCTACCCCAATACACATCATCAGTCCCATACGAAAGAATAAGATGGAAACTTTCTCAATATATTTCATCAGTTTAGCACGTCTCTGGGACAAAAATCCAAGAAAGGTAGCACGAAAGCGAAAGCGCCAACCAAACTTACTTATAAACAAACATGCGTATGTCCTAAACACTACACAGTAGTACCCAAATGACAACATTGCATTAAAAGTTATAAAAGCACTGTACTGTAAAGTTACACGTGAATACTGCACTGTAAATCCTGAATACTCTAGTGACCCACCCCCACCCTTCCACAGGCCTGGTGAGGGTCAGAAACCATTCACCGGCCTCCAGACCTTGCTAGTCCTCAGAGACACTGTTACAGGAGCAGTAGGCAGTGGGATTAGCCTCCCGCAGAGCTCTGGCCTCCTCCATAGCTTCCCAGTATCCGGAAGGCCTGCCTGGCCAGGAACTCCATGATTTGCATGTTCGTAATTTCGCGGCTGGCCCGGGAACACCAGCTGCTCCACGTAGGGGCCGGGCCGGTACTTCAGGTAATTCTGCTGGACGAACTCCTCGGTGATGAGCTTCCGCACGTTCCCGAATGTGGAAGGTGGAGTGCTTCTTCCAGGGCCGCAGCCCCAGGACGCGCAGCACGTTCTAGACGGCGCTGTCTCTGGCGCCGCGGCCCTTCAAGTAGAATGAGGCTCAGGATCATGAGCAGGAGGCCTGTCAGGACCCTGCTGTTGCTCAGAGCCACCCTGTCCATGCTCCTCGGGCTCCAGCGCTTTCACCAGCGCAGACTTCATGGTGTGGAGGTTGGACAGCCTCAGGTGCAGCCTGGTCAGCCTCTGCGGTGCATCCCGAACACCTGGGCGAGGATGAGGCTGGTGAGCCTGAATATGCCCCTCCATCACTAATTGTAGCTGCCGACGACATCCTTCACCATGTCTGGAAACCAGATGATCATCTTCTTCTGGTCCTTGACCCGCATGTACCACACGAGCTCGTCGTGCGCCTTCTGCAGCAGCTGTGCCGGGCCAGACTGGGCAGTGCTAGGGGCCTGGTGGGCGCCGCCCTTCTCCGCGGCCTGCTGCTGAGCCTTCCGGTCGCTCGGGGCCTGGGGCAGTGGTCGGGTCTGGAGGAGGGCTCTGCGGCTCTGCCAGGGTCGCGGACGGAGGAACGCCTACCGGAACCCTAGGGTTGCTATGCACCTCGGAGCTGGAGGCCTCGGCTGCAAAGTTGGGGTCGCTCAGATCCTTACTTTGTTCCAACCGGTCTGTGCCCTCTGACAAGAGCCTCTGCGTCCAGGAGCACTTTGAGTCTGCCCTCCCTCCGCCGACTCCTGGAGAGGAAGTCTTGTACTCTCACCTTTTAAGAATCAGTGCAAATATCTCCTCTTCTAGGATGCCTTTCATAAACTCTTCTCTCTGTCTTCTAGGAATTAAGGTATTCTCTTCTATGTTTGTTCATTGAATTTCTGTTGTGGCATTTATGGCTTTATATTTTTATTTTACTTTACCTGTGTTCTCTCCTACACACCTCCCACATGATCAGAAACCAGCACTGTGTCTGCTTGTTTAAAGAATAGTAAAATAAAAACATGGAGCTCTTAGCTCCCTCCGAAATTTCAGTTCCGTTTTGGATAATACTTCTGGAAAAAGAGATAGGAATATTTACTTTCTTATGGAAAATATTTTTTAATAAATTTATTTAATAAAAATATTCTGACAGTGTTGTAAATTTGCATTTGGTATATGAGCTTTTAGAACTGCTTATAAATATGTGAATTTTAAAGTAATGCATGATCATATTTAATTGTTGGACTTTTTATTTTCCTGTATAGGGCTGTCATCAGTGATCCAGAGCAAAATTTAGCCATTGAGCAAAAAGAAAGTGATCATATCCTTCCAGATTCAAAGATGACACCTCTTCGATTTAGAAAAAGAACACTACATGAAACAAAGTAAGAAGATTTTAATTACATAAAATGAGGATGCACTATGTTCTAAAAGTATTTTTAAAATGTACTTCTGTGTCTAGCTGGAGCTTTTGTGTTTGTTTCACTTTTTTCTATATAAAGAAAAGTGGAATTTTTTGAGTTCAGCTCCCAGTTCTGCTACTTCATGATATTAGGGGCAATACCTTATTTTACTCTCTTTGCCCTCCAGATTTTTTATTTGTAATTTAGGGGAAAAAAAGCCACAACCTTTGGAGATAATGGATGTGAAAATGTATCATATAGTTACCGAGAAATTTTACGTGTGCTATATATACTGGCTAAATCTCATTGGCATATTAAAACTTGGTGTTGACTATAAGATTTGTTTTGCATTTTACGTTGTAGCTTTTTCAACCTTAGAATTGGTATGATCTTTTACAATCCTCTGATGCTGTCCACTTAAATTCTTCAACAGTTTCACTGACATCTAACCTCGGCTTTAGTAGACATAAAAAAATCTACCAGTACCCACAGTAGCTTTTTTATATTTTCAGACTACTGTAATTCTTAGTACTTTCTTATCTTTTTTTAATCGTTTTGTCCCATTCTTATTTTCTGAAAGCCATTGCTTTTATCCATTTAAATATTTGGAAGCATTATGTGTTAGTTTCCTATTGCTGCTGTAACAATTACCATGAGCTTAGTATTCTAAAACACAGATTTATTGTTTAATTGTTCTGGAGTTCAGATGCCTAAAATCAAGGGATTGATAGGGCTACATTCCTTCTAGAGGTTTTAGTGGGGGTGAAGCTATTTTCTTGCCTTTTGCAGCTTCTAGAAGCTGCCTTCATTCCTTGGCTCATGGCCCCTTCCTCCATCTTCAAAGTCTTCAATAGCTGGTCTTATGCTGCATCACTCTGGCACTCTTTTTCTATAGATACATTTCTCTCTATGTTCCTCCAATAAGGACATGTGTGAGTGCGTTGAATCTACCCAGATAATCCCAATAATCTCTCCATTTTAATGTTCTTAATTTATCACATATGCCATGTCCCTTCTACCATATAATGTATTCCCATGTTCCAAGGATTAGGATGTAGACATGTTGGGCCAGAGGAGGTCGTCATTTATGTACCACACATCTAAACTGTCCTTTTTAAAAGTCAACTTTCATTGAAATAAAACGTACATTCACAGTGAATAAATTTTAGGTGCACAACATAGGAATTATCAAAAACAGAACAACACTCATGTACCAAATGCTCAGATCAAGAAACAGACAATTGCCAGTACCCCGAACCTCCCCTTATGCTGCCTCCCAGTTACTATTCATTTCCCCTGCTATACCAGGTTAACCTCTCTATCTTAATATCATAGATTAGAACTGCCTGGTTATGAAATTTATGTAAATGAAATTACAAGAAATCTAGACTCTGTGTCCAGCTTGTTTTTTCTCTCTAATGGCACTTATTTGTTAATTTAATTGTATATAAGATGTACAACATGATATTTTGATATACATAGTGAAATGTGTTTGTCTTCTTTTACCCAACATTAGGTTTGTGAGTTTTATCCATGGTGTTATTTGTAGTTGTCTTTTTTTATTCTCATTGTTGTATAGTATTTCATTATACCACATGCCACAACCTATCTATTCAGAGGTTGATAGATATTTGGCTCTTTGTGAATAGTGCTGCTATGAACTTCCTTGTTCATGCCTTTTGGTAAACATATGTACTCATTTCTGCTGAGTATATACTTAGAAGTAGAATTGTTGGACCACTTAGTATCCATATGTTCAGCTTTGAAAGATGCAGCCAAATAGCTTTCCCAACTGGTTGCTGAAATTTACACTCCCACCAGTAGCAGTATGAGTGTTCTTGTTGCACCATATCTTTGCCAGAGCTTGGTATTGTCTGCCTTTTTTTATTTGAGTTCTTCTTATGGATGTGTATTAGTGATTTTAATTTGCATTTCACTGGAGACTAATGTAGTTGAGTACTTTTCCATATGTATATAGGCCATTTTGATATCTTCATACAAAATTTCCATTCAAGCCTGTTGAGTTGTCTGTCTTCTTAATATTTATTTGTGGATCTTATTTACATGTTTTAGAAATGAATCCTTTTTCAACTATATTTGTCGCACATATCTTTTCCTACTCTGTAGTTACCTTTTCATTCTCTTGATTATATCTGTCTCAAAAACTAAAATTAGAAGTAGGAGTTTTAACATAGGCCAGTTTTCCTCTTTCCCTGTATTGTTAATGTCCTTTGTATATTCCTTAAAAATAATCTCTGCCTACCACTAAATCATTTTCCCTCTGACTTGTAATGCCACATATGTCATATGTCAAGTTGTTATATGCATGGTTATGACATGACATATTTATATGCATGCCAAATGCATGGTTGGTTTCTAGGCTTTTTCTTCAGTATCATCTGTTCCCTGTGTCAGTATTATCCTATCTTAATTAGTATTGCGTTGTATTAGAGTAAATACCTACAGCTTGTTTAAAGCTAATCTAGGTCCATGAAAAATCCTGTGGGGGTATCGATTAGAATTATTGAATTTTTAGCTTTCACTCCTCTTATGCCCCATTTATTTTTCCCAGAGGAGGAGAGAGTTCTGCTACATAAATTTAGAGGCAGGAATTGGCGTGAGTAGTACAGCCCTTCCTCTCCCCTTTGTTTGGGAGGCAGCAGCACATTCTGCCCTGTGCATTGTTTTAGAGGGTCCCTCCCCAGTGGAAATGAGTGGCTTAGTCTGTTTAATTATAGTGGTAAGGAGTAGCTTGTGGTTGCTGCATACCTAAGCCATGGTTTCTAGTAGCTTTATCAATACTAAATTCATACTTTAATCTTCAGTCTTTCTGATTCTTCTTTATGTATTGGTAGAGAACTTGGGTTCCTAAAAGCAATTGGGCATCTAAAACCCAACATGGCACTTTGCATTTTATAATGTAAATACATATTTACTTTTATCTTTTCAAGAAGACTATAGGGCCCTTGAAGCTATTACTTCCATTTGTCACTGTTAAAGTGAGTTCTGTTTACTATTGAAAAGCAATATAATGTAATGGTTAAGAGCAAAGTTTTTTCTAGCTCTGCCATTTACTAATCATATGGCCCTGGACAATTTACTCATCTGTCTATGTTTCTGTAAAATTTATTTGAAAAATGGGAATAATAACACCTCAGAGTTATTATAAGTATTAAATAAACCAATACACATTAAAGTGATTTTAACAATGACTAGTATCTGGGAAATTCTCAATAAGTGGTAGCTGTACTGTTGCTGTTATTGTCTCAGCATTTAGAATTGTTTCAGGCACATAGTGGGCATTCAATAAACACATTAATCCCAGCAGATTAAACTGAATTGAGATGGTTACACTCCCATGGCTCTACTCTGTGCTTACAAACTCTCATTTGGTTTGCAGGCTCACGTTTCCTGTTCCCTGCTTCCTTTTTGTAGATACCTAGATTTTATAGAGGTGTAGCTTTCAAGATCCCAGTGACCCACACACTTACTTACTAATTACATTACTGCCATTTCATTATACCTGCAGTTTTATGGAAGGAATATTATTAAATTATTTGTGAAGCAAAGGAGAAATATATCATTTAGTCTTCAGATCTCTTAATATAAAGGAGATTATTGGCAGTAGGGTGTTTTGGTTTTGCTTTATATTGTTAAATAGAATTTTAGGGCTGGCAGCCTTTATGAGATCATTCAGTACTGTCTGAAGGCCATAAAGATTAAATAACCTATTGATCTGTGACAAAGTTCGAACTTCATTCAGCACTCTTCCCCACTCTTTAGTTATTCTGGTAAGGAATGTTTTCAGCTACACATCACTGAAAACCGATTGATAGTGGCTTAAACAAGTCAGGATTTATTTTTCTTATATAGTTAGCTGCTTGGAGGTAGGCATTTACTGGTTTTGGTTCAGTAGCTTAGTGATGTTACCGCTCTAGGCTGGCTTTCCTATATCTTTTTGGTCGTTCTGATGTGGTGGATTGATCTCATGGTGGCTATAGTGGCTCCTAGCATCACATCCCTGCCACGTTCACAGGCAGGAACTCTTCTCATGCCACTCTCTTACCAGGACAAAAGAAAGTCTTTCCTGGAAGCTTACTGGCAGAACTAGGTCCCTTACTCATCCTTAATTGCAAGATGCTAAGAGCAAATTCTTTTTTTTTTTTTTTTTTTTTTTTTTTTTGAGACGGAGTCTGGCTCTGTCGCCCAGGCTGGAGTGCAGTGGCGCGATCTCGGCTCACTGCAAGCTCCGCCTCCCGGGTTCACGCCATTCTCCTGCCTCAGCCTCCTGAGTAGCTGAGACTACGGGCGCCCACCACCACGCCCGGCTAATTTTTTGTAATTTTTAGTAGAGATGGGGTTTCACCGTGTTAGCCAGATGGTCTCGATCTCCTGACCTCGTGATCCACCCGCCTCGGCCTCCCTAAGTGCTGGGATTACAGGTGTGAGCCACCGCGCCCGGCCGCTAAGAGCAAATTCTATGGTGTGAGGGAAGCAAAGAAGAAGAGGGTTAGAAATGGCATTCAGATAGCCCTGCAACAGTGCCAGTCGCAAATGTTGTATCTCTATTCAGTATTTACTTTTATAGCACTTTGATGCTATAGATTCTAATATAAAAGTCATTCACGTATTATATACTATATCTCAGAGTTATTTCTTTTGTGTCTGCTACAATTAGCAATCTGAAAAAAAGAGTTTTTTTTTACCTTTATTGTTATCCAATCTGTGTGGTTTCAAAATATTAACATAACTTTTTTTGTACATTTACAATTTCCATCAAGTTATAGGTATCTTGAAAAATTACTGACAAAATGTATTTCTTAACAGGATAAGAACTCATTCTACATTAACTGAAAATGTGCTTTCTCATAAATTACAGTTTGATGGTAGGATCGTATCACGGTAATTGTGATTTTATTAAAATTTTTAATCCTATGATTATAAAAACGTATTCTCTTTTTGAATAGAAATGACAGTAATGAGATTATATAGGTTTGTGTCATTTAAATAAAAATACGTGAATTTAGAACAAACATTTTAAAATAATAGCTATTAATCTGTTATAAAAATATAGGAAATATGAATCTGTAGGAAAAACATTCTAATTAAAAGTTATCTTTAAAGCGAATTTAAATATTTTTTAAAAAGTAACAGCAGTGAATTTTTTAGAGTTATATTACTACTAGAGTTTTGTAAACTGAAAACTAATGTTTTATAAGCTGCTTTATTTAATTTTATCTTAATGATTTAACAGATTATTGATAGGTGCAGTAAGTGACAAGGAAAATAATTTTTAAATCTATTATTTCAGTCTTATAGATTTCCAGTAATAAATAATTCTACTTGATGTTCTTTGTATATTACTGATAAAATGTGTATTTTAAATTATTTTATTTGTTTAGTGAATTTAAAGCTTTCTATGACAATAAAAGATAATAAATTTGTATCTATGGGTGCCTTCTTGCAACCTCAACACTTTTAAAGATAATTCACATTGTCTTAAAAGTCTATGTTGAATTAATAATGTACATCGTAAATATATCCACTTTTAATGTCAGTGTAAGATTATTTTTTTCTGCATTCAAATCTAACTTTTAGTGGACATTTCAGCAAGCTATGTTTTTGTGTTTTCCCTACAGTTTCCCATAACCTTCACTCATTGCCACATACATAAGAGAGTTAGCTATCCTTCTTGAGATGAACATGTTTTTTAGTTAATTCATCTAAAAATTATTCTATTTGAAGATGTTTGATTTCATTCTATTTTTCCAGTAATGGACGTGATGCTTGCAGAGAGCTCATTGGGTTCTTTTTCACTCATGACCAATCCCTTACAATTTATGAATATCGACAATTTGGGAAAAATAGGTATGCCATTAAACATTGTTAGAACTCTGGAGATGTTCACTTCCGAGAGAAGCTAAATAACTTTCCATTTTTTTTTCATTTACTTTCTAGAACAAATGTGCTTCCTTTTATTCAAAAAAGCATTTATAGTCATCAGTGTGGACGAAGAAAAGGAAAACAATACCGACTTGGTGATTTTTATGTTGTAAGTGGTGTGTGTGTGTGCACACATTTAATACCAGATGGTGGATTTTGTGGAGTCCCATGGAGGTGGAGGAGTAGGGCTTCTAGTCTTCAATTTATTTCCTCTCCTGCATCCTGAACAGGGTCATTTGTGTGGGCTAATGGTTGATGTTTTGCCAGGAGCTTCTGCTTCCCAGCCCCAAATCTCAAGTCTGAATCCAAGCATATCATTTATTTTCTGTAACACCCCCCTTCCCATTCCACAACATGGGTTGTCTCCAGATGAAGTTGTATCTTCGTACTTTGAAAAGTTCTTCAAAGCTGTGTCATTGGGTGAGTGGCTATCTCAATATTACCCAAAGTAGGTTTATCCTCCGAGGATGGACAGTTTCCTCCATGTGAAGGGGTATGGGCCTCTGGAGCTGTCATTTTTTTGATGGATAGCCTATCTTCCTTGTGATTTTCCCACTTTGGGAAATTCCCGGCATGTGGTGTGTCACAAGGATTCCCTAGAATGGGTGGAGCATAGATAATGTTACAGTTTGTGTAGTGCTCTTAAATTTTAAATCATATTTACACTTTATATCGTGAGTAAAATACAGCACTATCCACAGTGATCATTCAGGTAATATATGTTTCTATCCTAAGATCTGTAGATGGAACAGTAAGTTAGACTCATTCCCTGCTTTTTTGGAGCTGGCAGTCTAATAGGAGACACAGATAGATAAGAGGGCCAGATAGGAGGGGCAATGTGGGCCAGATAGGAGGGGTGATGGCCTAGTTTTGTGGAATCAAAGGAGGCTTCCTAGAGAAAATGCCATCTACCCTTGACTAGGAGTTAGCAAGGCTGGGATAAGGGAATAGGTTAGGGTGGGGAAAAGCTTCCAGGTGGAGAAGACAGCTTGTTCTAAGAACAAAAAGGAAGAGAGCACATGACTTATTTGGAGAACTGGAAGTAGTTCAGTCTGGTTGGAGGAGAGTTCAAGGTGGAGGTTGGCAAGAGATGAGTCAGAGCTTATTAAAAGCAGCCCATGTTAAAGAGTTATCTAACATGTATTGGGGAGTCACTGGAAGAGAAGATGTGGATGGAATGGGGGAAGGTGGCATGATCAGATTTGTGATTTTGAAAGATCTGTCTGGTTACAATGTGGGGAAGGAATTGAAGACTAGATACACAAGGGCAGGATAGGATTGAATTATATTAATCTAGGAGAGAGATTATGGCAACCTGAATAAGCAAATGACTCTGGCTATGAAGCTAATTAGAAGAATAAAAATTCTTTGATAGGTAGAGTCAGTACAATTTGGTGGCCAGTTAAGGGAGAAGTATGGGTTGAGGAAAAATTTTACATCTTATACTTAAATACACTATACACTATACATATGACACTCAAGCCTGCCTCTTGAGATCTAGAGAAAATCAGCTCGACTCCCATTTCACAACCTGCAGAAGAATGTTTAATGCATATTCCAAGTTTAAAGTTTGAGCTGATATCTCCAAAAATTTAGTGTAGTTTATGATTTATTCTCACTATCCTCATTCCATATTTCTTTGAAGTGGATGTGGAACTCTGTTCTTTTTTATGATTTCCAAGAAAGAAAGGAAAGAAAGAAAGAAAGAAGGAAAGAAGAAAGAAAGAAAAAAAGAAAGAAAGAAAGAGAGAAAGGAAAGAAATTCAGCCAGCTACATATAAACCACATATGTGATGCTCTGTGTGTGGAGCAGACATTTTGAAGGGGATATCAAAAGAGGTTCACATTGTAGCATTGTAAGCATTTTACAATTTATTAGATATCCCTACTTTTAAAAATACATCCCTTGAATATTTCCCATAGTAAAAGCACTCTTCTCCATTTTTCTAACTCTTCCACCTCTTGTTCCTGCCCCCAATCTTCTATTGTTTTATGCAGAAATATTCAACCCTATCCCTCTTTTTTTTTGGTGGTGGTGTTCTGTTTTGTTTTCCAGATGTGGCTGTGGAACTTGCCTTTTCATATCTATATGCCCCATTAAGTCTTTCTAAACACTCCTTAAAAGAAATTTTGGTGCCAGTTTTTAAGATAATACATGAATGTGCACATGTGCCCATAGATGCACCTGCATAAAAGTGAGACCACGCTGGGTGCGGTGGCTCACGCCTGTAATCCCAGCACTTTGGGAGGCCGAGGGGGGCAGATCACGAGGTCAGGAGATTGAGACCATCCTGGCTAACACAGTGAAACCCCGTCTCTACTAAAAATACAAAAAAATTAGTTGGGCATGGTGGCGGGCACCTGTAGTCCCAGCTACTCGGGAGACTGAGGCAGGAGAATGGCGTGAACCCAGGAGGCGGAGCTTGCAGTGAGCTGAGATTGCGCCTCTGCACTCCAACCTGGGTGACAGAGCGAGACTCTGTCTAAAAAAAAAAAAAGTGTACCCACATATGTATTTACTCATATGCACGCATATATGCACTGACACAGACTGTACCCTTAGGCACACATGTAAGTATACACACAACACTGTTACACAGATCACATATTCTTAATTGCTTAACATAATAATTATTTACAGGAGACTCTGAATCTTGTCATCCTCAATCTTACCCTCCCTCAACTAAAAAGTCAATCTAAACTGCTGTGTTCTACTAAGTGTTCTGCCCAGATTATTATAATCTAAATCCAGGATAATATTTCACTTTATCACTCATAGTTCTCCATCTTCCAATCTGAATTGCAGATTCTTTGGCTCTTCCTTTTTATATCTTCTTTTCTATCTCTGGTAGTTTTTTCTTTATATCTTTTAGGTTTTTGTTTTGTTTTTCATACTATCAGAAGATCACTAATTTCTCCAAAGACTTCCTAATTTCTGGGTGTTATTCTATTATGAAGATCTAAAAGATTAAAGACTGAAAGAGTCCAAATCTGAACATACCTTCTCTGTTCTTTTAGTGGGCTTAGTTTTTCTTCATAGTCCTGACCTTATATGTGTATATTTTTATCTATTCATTATTTTCTCTGACATGATGGTATAACTACCCTTGAAGGTAAGGACTTACCTGTCATGACCACTACCATGTTCCTAGCAACCTGAAGAATGACAAGTACTTAGAAGACACTGAGTACATATGTATTTAATGAATGGATTTAAATGTGATAAGCTGCAACTTGTACAAGGGCCTAAACCACTCTTATTCCTGAAGCCATATTTTTAATATCTCTATTTTTGTATTGAAAACATGAAGACAAAGCGAACATCGTATGTGTCCAGATTTTTAGTCAGTGAAGACTGGATGAAAGACTAAATAAGTGCAAAAGGGCCATGTTGGATATACACTGATTTCCATCATACTGACAGTTATGGTGGTGCAGCATCTTGCTAGCTGGTTTCCCAAAAGGCTTTATTTGCCAAATGCTGGGGAGGTGAAATATTTGCCCACCAGGAAAAAACACAAAGCTTTAAATTTGAAGTATAGGTAAATATTGCCAAGTTTTGTAGTCAAATATGTTTAAATCTTTAACTAAAAAAATTGAGAAATCTTTTTTCAGTTTTCATCTTACCTCTGTTTGTTGTTGTTGTTGTTTTTCTTTTTCAATTGAGACATGGTCTCGCTGTTACACAGGCGGGTCTTCACCTCTCATAACTTGTCCACAGGCTATTGTTTGTCCTTTGGTCCCATTCAGCAACTAAAGGGAATCATTTACAAAACACTGTCTGGTCTTCCAGGCCCATTCATTTACAACCTCCCCCATTTCCCTCTCCCCAGTGAGGAGGTTATTTAAGTATCAGCCATCTGGCTCTTTGAGTTTTCTTTCTTTTTTTCTTTTTCTTTTTTTGGTATGACTCCTATGCTTATGCACGTTAATAAATTTGTTTTGCTATTCTCTTGTAAACTTGCCTTTTGTTACAGGGATGTAGGCAATGAGCATTATGATGGGGAGGAAAGGGCTCACCTCCTTCCTATCCCGACACATACATGTTTTTGGTGTAAACAATAACTAGTCCTCAAGTAAGAAGACTCCGGGGTACCATTTGTCACACATAGTTTATCCTAGATTGACCTGGTAATTAGAGTGACTATCTGTATTAGCTAATTGGCTTTATCCGAGGTGGGGGAGGGGGAAAAAACAAACTTTTCATATCTTTGTGACAGGAGATGGTTCTGCACTTAGAGCAAGGTGCCTAAGAAAGTTAGGCTCCCACCCTCTCACAGAAACTGGGAGATAACAGTGCTCTCTCCCTTGCTGTTTACACTCAAAGAGTGGCTCACCGGTCCTTGAGAAAGCCTTATCTAGGTCATAAAGCTGACAACAGGCTTATCTAATTTTCAGAAGTATTTGTATACATTTCAAAGAGAGGAGAAAGTACTTACATTACAATTACAAATTCTGTAAAGTAAATGTGCTGAGAAAATGGAGGGGAGGGACATCCTTCCTTTATATTCAACAGGCAGAATTAAGCCCCTATTTATAATTTGTATTTGTTGGCCAGGCGTGGTGGCTCACACCTGTAATCCCAGCGCTTTGGGAGGCCCAGGCAAGTGGATCACGAGGTCAGGAGTTTGAAACCAGCCTGACCAACATGGTGAAACCCCGTCTCTATTAAAAATACAAAAAAATAAAGATAAGAACCAGCCGGGCGTGGTGGTGGGCACCTGTAACTCAGCTACTTCGGAGACTGAGGCAGGAGAATTTCTGGGACCCCTGAGTCAGAGGCTGCAGTGAGCAGAGATCGTGACACTGCACTGCGGCCTGGGCGACAGTGCGAGACTCCATCTCAAAAAAAAATAAAAATTATATTTGGTATTTGTCCTTACACTGGCTTTGTTTATTTGAGCAGCTCAGAAATTAAAATAATCATTTTATAAGTTTAGAATAAGATTTTTTGATAGGAATTTTGTGGCTGAAGTTTTGAAGTTCTAATTAGGTTGAAATTAGGTTTTATAATTAGGCAACATCTGTCATCAAAAGTTCAGCTGTGAAAGAGTATGAGAAATCTTCACAGTTCTTCAGTTTGTGGTATGTCATTCTGTAGGCCATTAGCTCTATTCAGGGAGGTCATAATTTAAATTAAATTATTTGTTCTTTTTTCCTCTCATTCTCATTAAACAAACTGAGTTTATTATATTGCTGACTTTTTTGTTCACATGGATTGTTAAATAGAAGACTTCTGAGATTGACAGAGATATTGGTTTATCTATATAGTTTCTCCAAATACATATAAGCATTCTCCAAATATACTTCTTACCCTTGTTAAAGTATATCGTGTCACATTAATCAAAATCCATTATTTAAAATTGATGTTAGTTATATTTTATTTCTTACATGCTTTCTAGCTTCATTCATCTGTTCTTTTGTTTAGGGTGCAACCTTGACATTTTTGAGTTCTGATCATCTCAGCCTTCCAGAAAGCATCAAAGAAAACACATTACTTAAACTCCGAATCACAAATATTGATCAAATAGCTTTGGATTCTCTCAAGTAAGTTAAATATGCATTTGGCAATTTGAAAGTAGGTGAAAACACTATTTTTAAATTATCTTAAAATGACATTCTACTATAAGGTATTTATAACTTCATTAAGGTTTATATTTTGAAAAAACAAGCATAGCTACGTATGTCTTTTTTATGTACTATCTTGTACTCAAATACACTTCATGTGTGGGAACAGTTATAATCAATGAAATATTTGAAAATATTCAATTTTATGTTAAAGATACCTTATTAATTTGCCTTTGCTATAACACTTTTATTTTACCAAGTATTACCAAAAGAAATAAATTTAAAAAAGGATATCAATACAATACTATAACAATTTTTTCACATTGTTATTATGATTTTTTTTTAGTATCTAAAAAAGTCTGAGGGTCCCATATGCTTACAGTATTCATTGATTGATAAAGTGCACAGTGAAAAATTAGTTCTAGACATCAAACATTGCTTTTAAAATGAATTTTTTTAATAACAGGAATATATATTTTGATTAAAAAATATATATTCCTGTGATATTATATATAATATATAATATATACATATTATATATGTATTATAGATTATATTACATTATATATAGATCTATTATGTATAGATCTATACATACATAATATGTATAGATACATATATAATATGTATATATAATATATATTTTATATATATATACACATTAGAGGCTATATCCTACAAAATGGCTGTAAGGAAGTCTGTGTTTCTTCATCATTTACTATATTGCTAAAAATGAATGCATTTGAGGGGGCTTTTAAAAATAATAGTTTTTCATTTTATGCTTTGCAAGGTAAAATTGCTTTTAAATTTAATAGTTTTAATTAAATGTTTAAAACATTAAAATTGTTACAAAATGAATGTTGGCCAGGCGCAGCGGCTCACTCCTGTAATCCCAGCACTTTGGGAGGCTGAGGTGGGCGGATCACAAGGTCAAGAGTTCGAGACCAGCCTGGCCAACATGGTGAAATCCCGTCTCTACTAAAAAATACAAAAATTAGCTGGGCGTGGTGGCAGGTGCCTGTAGTCCCAGCTACTCACAAGGCTAAGGTGAGAGAATCGCTTGAACCTGGGAGGCGGAGGTTGCAGTGAGCCGAGATCTCGCCACTGCACTCCAGCCTGGGTGACAGAGCGAGACTCTGTCTCAAAAACAAACAAACAAACAAAAAACAAACAAAACAAGTAGTTTTACAAGTAGTCCTTGTAAGATTTTAAGGATTTTAGCTCTCAGTTTAATCTTCTTAGGCATCAAAGCAGCAGGCAGAGTTGGGACTTGATTAAATTCTAAGCACTCTTCCAAGTTTGAGAGCTTCTTTGAGTCTGGAGCAGGGAAGAGCTTAGAGGTTTTATACTCAAGATTGTAAAATAGAATATATATATATTTCATCCCTGTGAACATGTCAATTGCAGAACTGCTTCTATGGAACAGGAGGATGATATAATCATTCAAGAAACCAATGATAGGCTGGTCTTCAAAGCAATTCAAGGTATGTGTTATTACTGTACTCTCAAGTACTTTGAATTTTCAGTCCTTTTTTATAATCAGTAAAACAGCATTTTCCCAGATATTTCTCAGTGGCACTTGATTTATATTTACCCTTTGCTTATTTAAAAAAGAATATATATATATATATATATATATATATATATATATATATATATACTTTTAAAAATAAGCTATATATATATATACTTTTTAAAATAAGCTATATATATATATATATATATATATATATATATATATATATATGCTTTTATTGTTTAGGATTTCTAAACGTTTTAAGATTTTCCTTACTTTAATGGTCCTAACTAGTATTATATGAATTATAAAATTAAGTGTTTTAGAAATTACTAGATAATATGGGTTTTACTCATAAACTGAATAAAATGTGAAAGTAATTTTTGTAATATAATACTTGTCTTATGTACTAGATAACATCCTGAAGAGGTTTGTGGTGTCCTAGTGTAAAAGAAAAAAAAGCTAGACTGGGAGCCAGATTGATGTTTGGACTCTGTTGTGCAAGACACACATGACTTTAGAGAAATCTCTTGCATCTCTTTCTTCATCTCTAAAATAGGGATGATAGTACTTCTCATATGAAATTTCCAGGGTTGTTGTAGGTAATAAATTAGATATATGTCAGTTTTGGATACTTAAACATTTTCCAAATTTGGGAAAATGCAGTATGGTAGACTCGATTAGACAGTTACTCTGTTGGATCTCATAGTATAAAATGGAGAAAGATATTGAATAAGCAATCACAGAAATTAACATGTAATTTATGTTTTTTTTTTGTTTTTTTTTTTGAGAGAGAGCCTTGCTCCATTGCCTGGGCTGGAGTGCAATAGTACAATCACAGCTCACTGCAGCCTCAGATTCCTGGTTTCAAGTGAGCCTCCTTGCCTCAAGCCTCCTGAGTAGCCAGGACTACAAGTGCATGCCACCACACCCGGCTAAATCTTTTTTTTTATGTTTTTGTAGAGACAGGGTCTTGCTATGTTCTCCAGGCTGGTCTGGAACTTCTGGGCTCAAGTGATCCTCCCACCTTGGCCTCACAAAGTGCTGGGATTATAGTCATGAACCATCACACTTGGCCTAATTTGTGAATTTTCATGAATCCTGATTTATCTTTTAAAGATAAGGGGCTCACAGTAAGAAGGCAAGAAACAGATTTGAAAAGTTTCGTTTGGACTCTCATATGTTCTTGATGCCAAAGTGTGTAAACAGTTTATTATATCATTGTCAATACAGTATTTGTCACAATTGAACTTGGTGACATTTGTTTTTTTCTCTCATGTATTATATCTAATAACTGCTTTAGTAAAGTTACCAATCTATTCTTAAGTAAATATGGTACAAAGTGCATTAAGTGAAATAACAGCTACAAAGAGAATGCTAGGGATCTAAGCAAATAACCTCTTATGAAATATATAAGTATAGGATAGAATTCAAAAGCTTTGATGCTATTTTGTATAGAAGTTACAATTTGAAGATTTCAAACTATTTTTAAAATGTTGAACTGATAATTTTTGGGTGACTTGCCTGTCATCAATTTTGTAATTCAGTTGATAAAAACTAAGAAAAGGAAAACAGATTAAAGATATGGGGTGGTTAAAGAGGTTGTCTACACAACAAAATCTAAGATTTTATTTGTAATATTTAGGTTATTCTCTTGGTGATAAAGTGAAACTGTATTTTTCTGTTTTAAAAACATACCACTTCCACCACACAGTGGTGCTATAGTTCTGGCATATTTACATGTGATTTTATGTTTAATCCTCTTGATTAAAAACATCCTATTTTCCAAAGTCTTTTGTCTTACATTTGATTTGTTTGAATATTCACATTCCTTATTTCAGTTACATCAACTTTAATTTTCTTATGAAAGATAACTGCGGCTTTATACATTTATGCATAGGAACAATTTGTTTTCATCTCTCTTCTTGTTGAACAGATGTGCTAAAAGAAAAACTACATAAAAGAGGTGTTCGTATTTTGACTGGATTGGGAAAATATTTTCAACAGTTGGACAAGGAAGGAAATGGACTTTTAGATAAGGCAGATTTTAAGCAAGCTCTAAAAGTGTTTCACTTAGAAGTGTCTGAAAAGGTATGTGCTACAGAAAATTCTCTGCAGCAGATAATATGTTATTCTTAGGTGGCATTATTCACTGTTCTACTGAAATTTTAGTTTTCATTTATTTTCTCCTTCTCTATGCCCTTTATCAGTGTTAAGCTATCAGGTTACAAGCCCTGTTGGTTTTTAAAGTTTAAACATTGCTCCATCCTATATTTATAAAGAGCTTAATAACCAGGCATTGTGCTAAGCTCTGAGATAATACTCTGTACTGTCAAGATCACCATAATTGAAGGACAATGAACATAAAACAAAATATGTATTCAGTGGAGAATGTTGTTGGAACACCATGGGGTAGGTACCTGATTCCAAGACAGGTTGTGGGGAAGGAGAACAAAGATCATGGAAGGATGCCTGGAGGAGGATACATCTAAGCTGAGTTTTGAAGGTTGAGGAGGAATTAACCAGACGAGGGAGAAAAAGGAGTGTGAATCAGACAATGTGTATTTTATGAGAAGGAGACACATGTGAAAGCTTGGAGGGGAAGGGAGTGTGGCCTGTTTCTGACACTGCAAATGATTAATAATCTTCACATATACTGTTCCCTCCACTGTGAATAATCTTCTACTAGATCTTCACATACTGGGTTTTCTTAGTATTCAGGCCACAGCTTTCTCTGTCAAGAGCATTACCCTGACACTTCTGTCTAAAGGAGCACTCCCATCTGATCCTTGGTCCTTTCTATACCAATTTCTCATTTTATTTTTTTTCATGCCACTTTGTAAATATTTTCTGACTCTGCCTGCCAGTAGATCATTAAGTCTCATCAGGGTGGGGACCAGAGTGTTTTTGTGTTCCTGCTCTTTATTAACATCTGAAATAGAACCCAGCATATGGAAAGTTAAGTAGATAATGCATTAGTTTGAATGGATAAATTTATGGAAGGAAGGAAAAGAGAAGAATGGAGAGAAATGTCTGGTACATTAAAGTCTTGCATGTCATGCTAAGAGGGTTGGATTTTATTCTAAAAGCATATGAACCACATTTGTCTCAAGGATTTCAGATAAAGGATCTCTTGCATTGTTCTCTTTTGCTTCAAATGATCTTGTCACAAGATGTGTATTTTGTAGAAAGAACACTGTAAATTGAACTTAGGACATTTAGGTTCAAGTTCCAGCTTTGCTATTTGAACTGTATGATCTTGGACCAGTCTTTTAACTTTTTTGATTGGGGGGCTCTGCCTGAGCAATCCAGAGGTAATTGCTATAGTTAGAGTTGCTTGGAAGCTCAAATAAGAAAATTACATGGGAATCTGCCATATCAGCTGTACAATTCTGTGCCAATATCATGTTGCCTAACATTGTTCTGACATACCCATCTTTTTGGTTTTTATGATGTTTAATCTTTTGCCTACCTAGTGATACATACTAGGGATCATCTAACTTCCTCTCTTCGTTTTGTAGATTAAAACAACAACAACAATAACAAAACAGCAATAGGAAATTAGAAAGCCTTGATGTCTTTGCTTACAATCACATGAGTGTGAATAGAAAAATAACACAAACTATGTTTCCTCTGCTTTCACACAGTAATAATCAACACAGAATACTTCTGCAACCAAATGCTTGTGGGGGTTCCACCCATACCAAGCTGTAGAAACCCAGTGGATAGCCTCTAATTCAATTCAATTCTGACATTATCTACCTGGAGGTAGCCTCAGATCCCACAGGGTGAGATCTCAGTTCTACAAGACAACCCCTTCCCCCAACACACTCTGCATAGAGCACCGGTCACAAGTTTGGGTCCCTGGAACTTGTGATCAACTAATTTCGAGTTGGGGGTTCCCACCACCCCCTCCTTGGGTTCAATTAATTTGCTGGAGCAGCTCACAAAACTCAGGAAAACTTATATTTACTGGTTTACTCTAATGGATATTACAAAGGATACAGATGAAGAGATGAATACGCAAAGTATCGGGAAAAGAGTGCAGAGCTTTCATGCCCTCCCTGGGTGCCACCCTCCAGGAACCTCCACAAGCTTAGCTACCCAGAAGCTCCCTGAACCCTGTCCTCTTGGCTTTTCTATGGAGACTACATTGGATAGACATGACTGATACATGCATAACTGTGTAGAAATGTGATTGGACAAAAGTGTATGACCTAATACTGATAGACTGAAGGAGGAAACCCAGGAAGGAATGCCTGTTCTGACTCTTCTTGGCCTCTGAGCAGCATTCCTTCCTCCATGGTGGGGGCAGGACCCCTTCTGAAATGGGGGTCTTATGGCCTACAATTAGACAAGGGAGGTCAGAGAATATTTTATGGCCAGCTCCAACACAGAAAGGCAGGAGACGATTCCTGCCTTGAAGAGGGAAAGGAGCTTAAGGTGAAAGAAGGGCAGGAGAAGGTCAGAGAGAGAGAGAGAGAGATTCCATTTTCTAAGGCCTGAAGTGCCCAACTGTCATAATAAAAGATTGTAACAAGAACAAGGAAGGGCAATGGGAATTATGAACTGGTCCTATGGATGAAAACATATATATATAATATATATATATGTATATATATGTGTGTGTTTGTGTGTGTGTGCTTGCGTGTGTATGTGTTTATAAAATCACACACAAGTAATAGCTGATATAGGACTAGAACGCAGAAAACATATTCCCGTCTAGTAATTTTTCTGTATCATAACAATACTTCCCTTTTTGATTAATTTGCTAAATTGTTATGATTAGATCTAGGAACAAAAACTACAGTAATTATATAAGACTTCTAACATAGAGGGAACATATTATGAAAATATGAGCATGCTTCCTCCTTTTCTCATATATTTTAATATTTTATATTTTTTCTGTAATATCACTGTAAACTGCTCATGCAATGATAAGCATATACAAACAGCTCGAGAAGAAGAACTTAAGAATCACTAACCTAGGTCTAATTTTGAAACAAGAATGTTTGTGGGAAGGCATAGTCAGCCATTCTCCCTGATTTGAGATTAAAAAAATTGATATGTACCCTAAAAAGCCTAATTTATATAGAGTTACTATTAGTGATTTCCTTCAGCTTTTTTAAATGTAATTATTTTCCATTGTGTACTGTATCTTTGAAAGAAAGAGTATATATATTTATATCTCTTAAGTATATATAAATATAAATATGTATTTCTTGTTGTTGACAATTATGTTAAATTACTCAATTCTTGAAAATTATTTCTTTTAAGCTTTAAGAAGTATCTTTCAATTCTAGTAATCCATGAATTGGATGAGCAAATTGGTCTTCTCCTGTACATATTACTCATGATTTTAAAGGTCAAGCTCATCTTCAGTTTAACTACACAGACACTTAAAGTCTGCATAATGTGCAGTACATTATGATAGACAAAGATGTATGGGGTTGTTGAGAATTGAGGGAAGGCAGGCATCTTTAGATTTTGTTTTTCTAGTTAAAGTTTTATTTGAAAAAAATAGGAGGGAGTGGAAGATGATGTTTTTTGAGTACCTATTATTTGCTAAGCACCTTGTTAGGTATTTTATCTACATTCACATTTAAAGCTAACAACTTGATTAAAACATTGAAAAAATATATTTACTTGAGTTTGAGAAAATGATGCTGTAATTTCTTTGTTGTCAAGGAAAACTGTGTTAGAACTTTCTATTAAATAGTGCATTTGATGAAGAAGTAAATGGTAATGGTAAAGTGAATAAACTGGCATAAGGGATTTATTCCAAATTATACCTTTCAGTGTAAATTGTAGAATAATATTAGAGTCATTCAAATCTATATTTTCAAGCATGAAGACTAGCAGAAATATAATTAGTGGTTATAATGCCATTGGAAGCACTCCAGGACCGGATGTGACTTTTGAATTAACACAGATATAATACATTAAAAGTATTTAAATGTTCAAAACTGAGTAAATGGTAACCACACATACACAGACACACACACATATCTATATATCTATAGGTAGATAGATGTATAGATATAGAAATAAATTAAAGTTGAAAAGATAAGTTTGTTACCAGAGCATGGGGAGAGGGGTGGTATACAAGGAAAATGGAAAATTGGTCAGAAGGTACAAGTTTTCATTACACAGTGGATTAAGTTCTGGGTGATCTATTGCACAGCATGGAAACTATAGTTTATAATAATGTATATTTCAAAATACCTAAAAGGGAGGATTTTAAGTGCTCTTGTCACAAATAAATGATAAATATTTAAGATGATAGATATGATTGTATTATTCTACAATGTACACATGTATTGAAATATCATATTGTGCCCTATAACTATATACAATTATTATTTGTCCATCAAAAATAAAACTTAAAAAAGTAAATTTGTGAGCTATTGCCATTCCTAAATGGCTCCTAACTTTACAGAACCATTCACCACAGATTCCTCTAAATCACTTTTTTAGTGGTTTTGATTGGATTTTTATGTAGCTTCTTCAATTTTCTTATTAAATGAGTTATATCTAGGACTACAGAAGATGTAACAAAATACAACTAAGATGATTTTGTTGTGACGATATGTAACTTAAAAATGCAACAGTTATCTCTGATTGTTTCTAGGATTTTGAGTCTGCATGGCTAATTCTGAATGACAATGGCAATGGCAAGGTTGATTATGGAGAATTCAAACGTGGTATTATTGGTGAAATGAATGAATACAGGAAATCATATGTTCGAAAGGTAACTTTGTTAAGTAATCTTTCAAATTGTTATTTTTAATAGATTGTTAGGTTCAGTATTTTAAAACTTTAATGAATTACCATTTAAAAGTTTTAAATCTATTTACTTATATGTTGGGTTTAGTAAAACAGAAAACAGGTCCATATGCATACAAATCAACCCAGAATGAAGCAAAATAACTTGTGTATATATTTTAGAAAAATACTATGAAAGGAAAATAAAATTTGAAATCAAATTTTGGTTAACAAATTACTAGCTCCATAAGTTGTTGCCTCCATAAATGACTAGCTACGTGAATATATGTATTATAAAATATTCCTAAGCCTCAGTTTCCTATCTCACAGAGTTGGTGTAAAGATTGAATAAGATAATGCATATACCATTCTTAGCATTGTGGCTGTTCCAGTGTCAATACTCCAGTCATTTTGTTTTAGGATGATGACTAAAAAATGTTTCTCTGGTCTTTAGAATATGCATGATAAATATTAACTTGTAAATTAAGATAATCATGTTAAATTGGAATTAAAAACAGGAGTACTGACTTTAATAGGAAGCTATGTATTACTTGGATTTTGGTAGCCATTTTTTATAGCATACTTTTGAGAACTATAGTTATCTTTTTTCTTTTGCATATGTACTTAATATTGAAACAAAGCTATTCTATATAATGTAAATAACTATAGAAATCCCAAATAGAGAAATTAGTCTCTACTTTTACTGGGCAAGAGACATAGTAAAAACCTTAAATTAGACAAATTCACCACATAATATTTATAAATGTGTACTTATTCGTACTTTCCATGTCCTTCCTGGTGATAGGTTTGAGAAACTGGTGTAGAAATTGGAGGCTTGTCTCTTTCATAAATCTTAGTAATGGGAATAGAGGGCAAGAGAAGTGTTATACAGTTCTGTATTAGTTTGCTTGGGCTGCCATAACAAAATACCACAGACTAGATGACTGAAATAATAGAAATTTATTGTCTCATAGCTCTGGAGGTTAGAAGTTCACAAACAAGGTGTCAGCAGGTTTGGTTTCTTCTGAGGCCTCTCTCCTTGGCTTGCAGATGGCTGCCTGTTCTCTGTGTCCTCACATGGTCTTCCCTTTGTCTGTGTTGTGTCCTACTATCTTTTATTTATTTATTTTTTTGAGGTGGAGTCTTGCTCTGTTGCCCAGGCTGGAGGGCAGTGGTGTGATCTTGGTTCACTGCAACCTCCACCTTCTGGGTTCAAGCGATTCTCCTGTCTCAGCCTCCCAAGTACCTGGGATTATAGGCACGCACCACGATGCCTGGCTAATTTTTGTATTTTTAGTAGAGACAGGGTTTCTCCATGTTGGCCAAGCTGGTCTTGAACTCCTGAAGCCTCAGGTGATCCACCCACCTCAGCTTCCCAAAGTGCTGGGATTACAGGCATGAGCCACCGTGCCTGGCCCTACTGCCTTCTTATAAGGAGACACCAGTCATATTGGATAAGGGGCCACCCTAATGATTTCATTTTAACTTAACTATCCCTTTAAAGGTCCTACCTTCAAATACAGTCATATTCTGAGCTACTGGGGATTAGGTTCAACATATGAATTTTGGAGGAACACAAGTCAATCTACAACAGCTTCCATATTTCTGTGAATGCAATATTATGAATAACCAGACTTGATTCTAGTTTTGACCCCACTACGAATGCAGAATGTTGCTTTGGGTAGCTTGTGTCTTTCTAAGTAGTGAATACTCTTCCCAGTGAAATATTTCATGATATCTTATGATAGAGCTACACTGAATTAGAGGAACAATAGCACAACTACATTTTAAAAAGTGTATTAAATTTCAAGAAATAGAGTAACATAACTCATTTAAAAGGTATTTCACTTTTTCATTGATTTTAGGGAGGAAATATTTGCAAATTCACTTCTTGAGTTAAAATATTCGTCTTGGCAATCTCTTTTGGCCATTTATGCGTTTCATATGAATCCTAGAGATGGAAGTTACCTGAGAGGTCTTTTACCCATCTCTTCAGTTTTCAGGGGAGAGAGGCCATGGAAATAGAGGTCAGGTTACTTTCTCAAGGTCAGGATGCTAGAAAGTGGTAGAACTTTCTAATTGAGTACAGATTTCCTAATATCTTGCTTCACTATCTTTCCTCCTGTATTTATAATTGTTCTTTTGTGTATCAGTATAGTACTTTTAAAATGTCTTGTTTATAGCTCAGAAATAACCTACTGTAAAATAGAATATTAGATTCCTATGTCTAATAATTTTACTTAAAAAATAACATTTGCCAGGCCGGACGTGGTGGCTCATGCCTATAATCCCAGTACTTTGGGAGGCCGAGGCGGGTGGGTCACCTGAGGTTAGGAATTTGAGATCAGCCTGACCAACATGGCGAAACCCCGCCTCTACTAAAAATACAAAAAATAGCTAGGTGTGGTGGCGGGCGCCTGTAGTCCCAGCTACTCGGTAGGCTGAGGCAGGAGAAACACTTGAACCTGGGAGGCGGAGATTGCAGTGAGCTGAGATCACGCCATTGCACTCCAGTCTGGGTGACAGAGCGAGACTCTGTCTCAAAGCAAAGCAAAACAACCAACCAACAAACTAATAATAATAATATTTGTCTGTTTAGGCCTTTATGAAACTGGATTTCAACAAAAGTGGCAGTGTGCCTATTATAAACATAAGAAAATGTTACTGTGCAAAGAAGCATTCTCAAGTAATTTCAGGTAATTATTCGGAGTTAAAATGCATTGGACTTTGAAAATGTTACTTAATAAAGATAATATCTTTATATTAATTTAAACCTTAGACTGAGGCCATTAGGGAGGAAATAAACTATTTTTTTGAACTGGAAACTTATGAACTATTTGCCTTTCTTCATTTAAAAATTCTTAGGTCTATTGCCCATACTCATTTGATTATTTGATATTTATTATCAATATAGAACTCATTTCCTACTTAGGAGATAGTAAGGGATTTAAGTTAAAAAGAATGAAATAGGTTTAGAAAATAGATAAATACATATGCAGGTTCTCAGAGTTATTTTTACTGTATCTGCTTATATAGTTATCCATACTTAAGGATTTAAGCAGAATGAAGGAGTGTCTTTCTCTAGGGATGGAGCTATACATAGAATGAACATACATATATCTATCAAAATTTGAGGATATTGTAAATTCCCTAAAGTAACTCTGGAGATTTATATCCTACTATATTTTTTCTAACTTTTTTACATAATTGTTTTATAAGTGCATGCTTTTTATAAAGAAAGCATTTGACTACCACAACTCTCCTCTTTACATTTCCTTCCATAGAAGTCAAAATTATCATTTAGCATATATATATTTCAGTTAATACATTATGAATTTTACTTACTCTATGAATTTTCATGGCTATGTGCATGCTATAAATATTTAATACTTTTTGAAGTTTTTTTGACATGAAAGGCGCACTGAAGATAATGTTATATAATTTGCTTTTTACACTCACAAGTATGTTTTGGAGTTCTTTATATGTTAATCCACATTGAGCCACCTTATTTTTTATCTTGCAGTATATTATTCTTTTTATGAATCAATATACTATCATTTACCTAGCCATTCTTTTATTGTTAGATTTTAAGTTCTAATTATTGATCAACAACTAATGAAGCAATAAATGTGCTTATTTGTGACTCTTTAGGCCTGTTTTCTACTGCTTCCCTGGAGTGATATTAATACCTAGAATTACTGGGATGTCTGCATTTAAAATTTTAAGTGATACTTCCAAATTACATTGTAAAATGACTATATTAAATTATATAGCCATTTGTTGAAGAGTTCTTTTCCTCCACAACTTTGCCAAAAAATTTCACTTTGCCAGTCTGATGGGTTAAAAAAACCCATTTTACATGGAGTTCCTTCATTACTAGGGAGGTTAAACCTACATTTGTATATTTATTGATTGTCCATCTTTAAGGAATATTTATTGACAATATTTTATGAGCAATTTCTTTTCAACTTATAAGTTTAATTCTGTACTGCTAAATACTATAGAATACTATTATTTTTAGAATTTTATTCCTTACTATTAAAAGAGATACACTGTAATTACTTTGGTTTCTCGTCATCATTAACCCTCATATATGGTTAATTTATTACTTTTAAGTATGAAATGAAATCATGAGATTTGGTTATGAAGATTAAAACTAATCATCACTGGATTCCAAATTTCTAATTATCTATTTCTTGTCGAAATAGTTTGATTTACTTATTCATAACATTAAATAAACTACAGCTACTCTATGAGAATTTTTAGTGTATGTTTAATTGTTGCTAGTGTATTTTTTTCCTTTAAACACGTCATTATCTGTTTCTCTTAATTAGTCATACTAAATATAAGAACGAAATAGTTTAACATCATGTATTTTTTTCTTTCTCTTTTCTCATCTAATAATATTATTTAGGTTGCTAAAATAGCTTCAGTTTTATTATGTGTCATGGAATTTTTGATGAGGGTTTTATTTTTGTTGTTGTTGGGAAAGCCTTTTTTGGTTTCAAAAATTCCATAATTTGTCTTTGCGTTCATATTAAAAATGACAACAGGCAAGCTAAATATTCCTAAATAGAAGAAAACTTGTCACTGTATTTCAAAGAAGAAAAAAAGTACCCCATTATTATTTATTATTGCAAATTATAATCTATTCACATGCGCACCTCTGGGATATAGTTTGTTCACAATTTACAATTGATTTTAAGGTAAAGCTCTTATACCACATACAATTTAATTTTAACTATAGAAAATATTCCTTCTTAAATTTGCTTAAGTAATATATTAGATAAAAGTATTTTAAGGTTTAATAGAAATGGTATATCCCAAATGTATTTCTGTATAATAGTTTTAGAAATATAACATTTTTTGCTGTAAATATTTTCTGGTCTCCGAGAGGACTGAAAAAAATTTAGTTATAGGTGATAGGAGGTAGATATTTCCTGGGTGAGGGGTATAAAGGAGGTATGAAATTCTTCGCTATTTGAAATATAAATTTGAGTGAAAAATGTTTCCTCAGAAAAAAAACTGTGTTAAAACTCCTCTGTTCAAAAGTATGGCTGGTAAACAAAGATGGAAATTTCTACCAAAATCTATGTTTTCATATAGTTTGGATCTTGATTAATTTTTAGCCTTGACTAACATTCAATTAAAACTTCATTTTATTATTTTATATTACCATCTCTACGTAGCACCATTATTCAGTCTTTTTACATTCAACTTGTATTTTATAAAGTAATGACTTTTTCTCTATTTCTTGTGTATGTTTTTAAAAGAAAGCAAACTTCTTAATATTCAAAGTAGATTTCATTCCTTTAGTTTGAAAGACCCTTTGCAATGCATTATTGTCTAAGTCCATTAGAGAACCTCTGGTTTGAGGGAAAAAAAATTAACTCTCACCTTAATTTTGTCCACCCCATTAGACAAATGGTTTGAGTAGTATTCCCATCTAAGCCTGTTATTTAAAGCATAACCTGACTTTAAAACGTTTTAGAGGGTCACATAGAAATTTTTGACCCTTTTTCTACTATTATATATGGGCCTCTGTTTATTCTCTTTTCAGTGTTATCTGACCAGTCACTATAGCTTCCTTTCATCTTTCAATTCCTCTGTTCTTTTTAAAAATTTATGATCAAAAAAACTGTGTTCTGTGCTGGGATCCTGGAGATAGATCAGTGCAGGAGAGCAGGGGGCAGGGAAGGAGTGGCAAATCGAATGAGATGAAATAATTCCAGTTCATGTGTAAATAAATTGGCTGGTAGTTTGACAAAAGATTTCAAATTGTTGAAAGTATTTCATAAGATGATTAAGTATTCCTTTATCATCATCAGTCATTTCACTGAACTTTTCAGGAAACTGTTTCATACTCAGTACTATTTTATAGGCCATTCAACAGAGGAAGAAATCAAATCATCCTTTCTAGAAACATTAAAAGTTGCCTGCAGCAAGTCTGATGAAGTGTCATATGGTGAATTTGAAGATTACTATGAAGGTTTAAGTATAGGAATAGTAGATGATGAAGACTTTGTTAACATCTTACGTACTCCATGGGGGATTTAGTCTTTAATAATACATATGTCATCAACACTAAGCATTTTATTGGAGAGATGATATCAATGTAAAGGATGATCAAACACTGGAATATATTTTCCTAGGACTTCCTTTATTCTGGTTTCTTGTTTGTTTGTTTTGTTTTGTTTTGTTTTCTCAAAAATGTTGAATTTGGAAAGAGAACTATCCAGAAAGATAGATGTAGGGGTGTGTTAGTGTTTGTGCATGTGTATGCCTGTTCACATGTCCTTACATTTGTAAAGATATCTTTTTGGTTTATTACTTATCTTGCGTATATTTTAGAGGTCATTTTTTATTAACTTCAGTAGGAAAGTTACATCTGCATCAAACAATATGGCAACATCTATTTATTAACCAAGTTTCCTGTCCTTTCACATTGTTTTTTGCTACCTCTTCCTCAGAATATATTTGCCACCATGGTCAATTTGATAAATTAGAATTGGGCCCAAAGCCAGTGAGATAATTCAATGTGTTTTTAACACATGAAAATATTAAAGGATATGCAAGAGAAATTTTTCAAGCAGTGTGATTATAGATGTTTTCTGTATATAGAATATTTCAAATGATGGAGGTTTACCCCATGATGCTCATTTAAATACTGACTTGTCTTTTAAATCTGTCTTCTAAATTATGTACTGTTGTTGGTTAAATAGAGCACAATGTAGTTATTCTAATGCCCAGTTGTATTTGTTCTTTTATTCTGCTTTTTAACTGTAATCCTTTTTACCAGCATACGATTGTTATTGAGCAATATGAAAGGGAAATGTTCTTTATTAAAATCAATACATTATCTTATTAAACAAAGATCCTAAAAGTATATTGTTGCATATATGAATCCAAGGAATAGTTCAGTAATTATTGCCTAAAATGTGAAAGCATATTTTGTATCCTAAAATGAATGTATGATATTCTAAACATCTGTTTTAGTATAACAAACAATTGAAACATTTCCTTCTAAATATATGTTATTTAATAGTTACATGTATTATAATCATTCTTTCTAAATTCTTTGCTAGTCATTTCTTCCTGGGAATACAGAGAAAAGAGACAACTTTATGAGTTGTTTTCAACTTCATAATTTTAAATTTTCTATGTTAATATAACATAAATTAGAAAAAATAAGTGATTCAAAATGAAAATATTTACTTTGTAGAATATGACTTTAGACATATCACTGTATCCATCTATACTTGGCAGCAACATGAGAAGTGTGATACATGTGAACCCAACAAATTCAAAGTTGCACTTTTCAAGATGTGAGAAGGTACTAAAACTTAATACTAAAACATGAGAGGGAAAATATGTGTAAACCTCTAGTGCTATTTTCACTGGCTAAATTCTTTATTTCTTGATTTTTTTAAAAATTAGGTTATTAAAATTAAAACAATATGCTAGAAGACATTTTGGCAGAAATAAGTCTATAACACTATTTTTGTCACATATCTTTTTCTTGGAAAAATTTATCCAACTATAGACATCTTAAACCCTACAAATTGTTCTTGTTAAAAATGACTAATACTGGGGGTGCTCAATATGCATATAGTGTTTTTCATTGATAATTTTTATTTAGTTCTTAAGAAACCTGTTCTTAATGTTGGCATGTCACATTTTTCTGTTACTATAATCAGAAAATGTATAGTCTGTTATACTGTAAAAAAAAAAAAAAAGGGAAGCTACTTTTGGAATGTAACGTGTTAACATGACAGCATACTCTTAGTATTAATCTTAATCTTCCTAACATAAGCATTCACATGTGGTTATTTGTAGGAAATAGCTCTATTTATGAGATTTTTTTTGGTGTATTTTGTTAGAATTGGTGACACAGTAAATCATTCTGCTTTTGGATTTGCCTGACTGCCTGCATTCTTCTTTGATTTTGGTATAGTAAAATCTGTTATTTAGTGTTAAACTTAATAAAAGAGCATTTAAGAGAAGTGACATTTCAAACATCCACAACACAACTGACTTTTGAAATCCTATGCTTAATAGTCTTTGTAATTCTAAAAGACCTTTTGAAAATGTTAAAATATTAAATTATATGTTGTAATGCTGTTACATGAATTTTATAGTTATGTATATTTTATAGATCTCTATGTCTTTGTAAGTTACTTGCTTGTATGCTATATAATTGCTTTCTCAGTTAACCATACTGTTTATGGAATTGTATATACTGATTTTTCTGTTTTTATATTTTAAAAATAAAAGTTGAGAATTTTAAGGAAAAACATTTTATTAAAAAGACAAGGTATATTATATAGGAATTTTAAGCTAACTTTTAATGGAAAGGACATACATATTTGCATGATGGAGCAATCACATTATAGTTAAACATGTATGTCCCTGTTTTAAATTTTATAGTATATAAATATATGTGCTAATGAACCAGCGACTCTGCATAGAGGCAGTCACTTAGAGTAATTAATAATCTTGATACAGCTGTAGATCATATCTTATTTTACATATTACTTTTGACTTCCAGTTTAAGTTGTTTGTTATCAAGTATTTCAGGAGAGAATTGTGTACATTAGGCTATGTTTACTGCAGATTATGTAACATGCTTTTATGAGATTATAGTTTGTAGTGCTTGCAAATATAAAACATGTACCCTGATAAACTATAATCACTACTAGGTTGACCAGCAAGGACAAACATGAAAATGCTTAAAAAAAAGAAAGCGCTTAAAACAAAGAAATAGAAGGTAATGGGCATATATAAAATAAGCCAAGCAAGAGAAGAGCAAAGACAATCTGCAGGGTGGACATGGATGTATTCGTTTCTGATCATGAGAAGAGGCTCTTGTCATACATATCGTTCCATTTTTATTTTAAAGTTCTATAAACTTCTGAGGTAAACTGATTTCTTGGATGTACTTAATAAAGAATAAATGTTTCATATTGGAGCCACTGTGCACTTAATCATTATTTATTCTGCTAGTCAGTTGTTTGTACAGGGTGAGTGGCACTACCCTTGCAGTAGGCCAAGGCTCTGAGATATTCTAGATTTTTCTCACACTCTCTATTATCCACTCAGTCTCAGGTGCTATTGGTTCTTGAATTTATCCATTGGTTGTTTAAATCTCTCTCGTTCACTGTTTTCAATGCTTATGCCTTAGTTCAAATTCTTACCACTTCTCATGTGTACTCCCCCTCATCAACTCTGCCTCCTTCTCAATCTTGTTTGAACCCATTGATGTTGGAATGCCCTTTTACAATATACATTACTTCCTGAATAAAATTCTTCCCTGATACCTCATATCTCTCAGAAAAGTTCAATCTCTGACCTTAACACATAAAACCTAAAAGATCTGGTTTTCTTAAGCTCATCTCCCTATACTCAGCTCACTCCCCACATTCTTCCAGTCATTCTGAACTATGTAACAGCCTTTAAAATGGATTGTGAGATTTCCAGCCTCTGCGCTTTCATATCTGTTCTGCTACTTTTATCCAAAATTATTTTCTGCACTTAGTGCATTAAATTAATTCATACTGATCTTCAAATACTACCTTAAGAATAATGTCTTCTGAAAAGTTAAATCAGACAAACTCTTGAATCTGATATATTGGGATCCCATTGGCACCCTGGCTGTACCTTTACTCTAGCATTCATCACTTTCTGCTGTACTCATAACTCTGCTTGTGTTTCTCTCACTAGACTGTAAACTTCTTGAAGGTAAGAACAATATCTTATTCAGCTTTGTGATCCTGGTGGGTGTCTAGCAGTGTCTGACATGGGGTAGGCGTTAAATCAATTATTAGTCAGCTGGGTAAATGTGTGATTTATTGAGCAGAAATTGTCAGAGTTCTTGTTTTGGAGCACTTTTGCATCAAAACACTTTAGTAGACTCCAGGTAAATAGTATGAACATGCAATTTTGTGCAAAATTCACCTATGGAAGCTGTAAGTTACCCTAATAATGCACAGAATGCATGTTCTAGCTGGCCACTTTTCCACAAAGCCTCACTACGTAGGGGCTACTATATTCACTTCCATTTTTTGGAACTCGGTCAACATCTGATACCTAGCTAATTAGGCTTCTAAGCATAATTAATTCCATCCATGAAAATAGTGTGCTCTTAGAGCCTTAAAGGAATCTTGGTCCACCCATGGATTAGAAAGACTTCTGGTTGTTCGACTCATAATAAAGTAAGCAGATCCTGTCCTGGAATGTTGCTGCTACTTCCTTGGTGAACCTTTCAAGCAGAGTTATGGTTGAAGTCTCTAAAGGACAAACTGCTGGGATAGCACTGATTTTACAGAACAGGTTGTGTAAACTTTTTTGGCCTCTTTGCTAAGAAATGTTTGTTTAACAAATGTTTATGTGGCAGAACTTATTCTCAAATGTATGTTACTACAACCTAGAAGTAAGGGATGGGGTAGCTAATTTCCACCTACCTCAAAGACTTTTTTGCAGAGAGGGCCATGGTTACCTACCAAAAGGAACCTATTACTTGTGAATGGTTTAATTGGCTTAAGTCAGTTCATAGCTGCAGTTCTCTGTTAAGACACTGTAGTATGCATCACAGACGCAAAAATGGCATGGCATTTAGGCATATACAGTGCCTAAAGTAGTAAAGTTAAAGATACAAATACCAGAAGTCCATAATTGATACAACTTGGGCCTAAACTAGGTGCAGCAGAGCATTTAAGACCTGCATATGTCATCCTAGGGGAGTAATAATAATTCACTATTCTGAAAACATATGATTTATTAAGGTATTGAAATGGAATGACAGTATTTTAATATAAAATACTGAAATGGAATGACAGTATTTTAATATAAAATACTGAAATGGTAAAGATTTTGGAGATTTGATTGTATAAATTGTGAAAATGTACTAATGGATATACATTTTCAGATTTCTCTCTTTAATCTTATATAAGCTGATTTGTATAATTTTTGGATATCCAAGCAAAGTAAAGTCATTTGGAAGGATTTGAAGAAGCAATTACCTATCCAGTGGACAAATTTTATTCAAGGAAAGAAAAAAATCAAGTTCCTTGTTGCTTTTAACTTTCCCTTTTATCAGATTAGGATGGGACTTCCAAGCCATGTCTAAATGAATTTAATTATAAAGTGTAAAGATTCTCACCTTCACAAATACATGTTGAATTTCCTGGGAATTTTTAATGATGATAAAGCCGATATGAAACAAATGACTGTGTTTCAAGGAAATCGTGTTTCACTTATGAAAGTTGCATATTTATCTAGGAGCTGAAGAGTTTTATCGAGGAACTTTTTAGAAAGCATGTTATAAATGAAAAGTTATTTTGAGGAAGCATTCAGATGACCATTTTATTAAGAAAAAGTATGTACTTATATTAGTATTTTAATATAAATGATGTGGAATGAGCACAGGCTTTGAAATCACTGAATACTGACTTCAGACTTGAGCTCTTCTACAAATTAGCTGCATGACTTTGGGAAGCTATTGAGTCTCTACTTCAACTGCAGGTTGATGCGAGTATGGAATATAGATAGATATGGATATAACAGAGATGTAGATATAGATATAGTACTTACCGCAGTCTAACATGTGTGCACACACACACACATATGTATATTCTGAATACTCTATTTCCTCTGTTTTCTTCAATTAATTAAAAGCTTTTCTTTTTTTTTTCCCTGATTATCCTGAATGGCAATTATAAGAGCTATTCTTTTAAAAACATATTTTTACTAGGTAGGAATAATTTGTATGCCACCACTTCCTCCTGAATTTAATAAGCCTCTCATTATTATTAATTATCTTTCTTCAGCAGCATCCATGAAAGAAAATCAAAACCTTGCATTAGGGCTATTAACTCTTTTCCTTCAAAGCATGTAACAAGGTGGCAGCTTAAAAAAGGAGTTAGTAACAAAATTGGTGTTATTCAAATTAACTGGAAAATGATACATATGTGAGGCTAATTTTGTCTTTAAAGAACTTAGGCAGCATTGCTATTTTCTCTGGTGTACACACTAAGACCACTGATGATCCTGAATTCTGTAACATGTGTTTTCCAAACAGAGCTGCAGTAGTATCTCTCATCCCATATACTCTTACATAGTGAACTTGGCTTAGCATCAAGAGATGGGCTCTGTGTCCCCTCTGCTTGAATCTGGGTGACTTGTTAGTAGTCTCTGGCAGTCACTAGATTGTATCTAAAGTGATGCTGTGTTACTTTCCAGACTAGGCAAAAAAAAAAAATGCAATGTAGTTTCTGCCTTGTTTGCTGGGACACTTGAGCCACCAGGTAAGAAGTCGGACTACCTGAGACCGCCAAACTAGAGGGGCCACATATAGGTGCTCTGGTTAACAGCTAGAGCTGACCTCTCAGCTGAGAGCTAACCTCAATTGTCTACATGTAAGTGAAATGTCTTGGGTTGATTGCACCTCTAATCAACACCTTACTACATTCACCTAAAAGATCCCAAGTGAGAACTATGCAGCCAAGCTCTTCAATATTCTTGTGAACAAAGTAAAATGGTTGGTTTCAATTGCTAAATTGTGTGTGTGTGTGTGTGTGTGTGTGTTTTCAATAGTAAGTAGAGCAAATCCTTAAATAGAATTTGTGTGTATGTGTGTTTATAATAGTAAGTAGAGCAAATCCTTACATAGAATTTGAATAAGAGCAAGAATATTAAAAACATTTTGTCAAATATACTGAGGAGTTAATATGACCCACAGTTGACAAAATTCTTCTGAGATATTAAAAGAAAAATAATACAGTAAGTCTATATGATCTAAGTTGTGTGGAATAAAGTGATCTGATAGAATAAAAGAGAACCCTCCAGCTCAATTCCAATAAGTCAGGCAAGATTTTATCTTTGTTGTCTCATAGTCTGAGGCAGAAATTGTGAAGAACTAAATTCAGAATCTGAACCTTACTGTGATGGTTAATATTGAGTGTCAACTTGATTGGATTGAAGGATGCAAAGTATTGTCCCTGGGTGTGTCTGTGAGGGTGTTGCCAAAGGAGATTAACATTTGAACCAGTGGACTAGGAGAGGCAGACCCACCCTCAGTGTGGGTGGGCATCATCTAATCAGCCGCCAGCGCAGCTAGGATCAAAGCAGACAGAGGAATGTGGAAGAACTAGACTGGCGTCTTCCGGCCTCCATCTTTCTCCCATGCTGGGTGCTTCCTGCTTTCAAAGATCAGACTCCAAGTTCTTCAGCTTTTGGACTCTTGGACTTACATCAGTGATTTGCCAGGGCCTCTCAGGCCTTTGTCCACAGACCAAAGGCTGCACTATAGGCTTCCCTACGTTTGGGGTTTTGGGACTTGGACTGGCTTCCTGGCTCCTTAGCTTGCAGACAGCCTTCACCTTGTGATCACATGAGTCAACTCTCCTAATGAAGTCCCCTTCATGTATACTCTATTCTATTAGTTCTGTCCCTCTAGAGAACCTTGACTAATACACTTACCTATCTGTGTGTGTGTGTGTGTGTGTGTGCATGTGTATGTGAGTTTTCTTGAGTAGGTTCTAATAGATATAGGCCCACCTAGAGTGGAAAAGGAAACTTTTGAGAGTTTCTTCCAAGACAGAAAAGGGAAGAGTGTTTCTGGTTCTGAGGGCATAGAGCCATGTTCCCTGTTTTCTGGCAGCAATTGCCTGGGGAGATTCTGGGCCCTCAGAGGAGAGTGTCTGTGTGGCAAACACCGGGCACCCAGGCTGTTAATCCCAGATATGACTCCCAGGTTTCAGAGATATCACCTTCAAGGGACCATAAGGGCTTGAATAATTAATTTATTAATTCATACAGTTATCAATTTAACCATTCGTTCATTCAACACATATTTATTGAGTAGTTTTATGAGACATTGTTCCAGGTTCAAGAGATACGTCCAAGAACAGTATGCACAAATTGCCTGCCCCAAACAGTTCAATTTATAGTGGTAGGAGATAGTAATCAAGTAAACAAATAAGATAATTTAGTTAAATCATTTTAAAAAGAAGAAAAAATAAATAGTACGAGCAGAGAGTGAATAGGAAAGTTCTTACAGGTGGTGACATTCTATCTGAGACCTAAATGAGGCAAAGCAGAGGAGAAAGAGCATTCCAGATACAAGAAACAGTTAGTAAATAAGGCCCTGAAGTGCCGATGAGTTTGGTGTGTTCAAGGGAAAAAAAAGTTTCCCTAGGATGAAGAGAATGTTAGGAGATGAGATTGGGGAGGTAGTAAAGTATTGGATCATATAAAGCCTAATACTCCATAAGAAGGAGTTTGGATTTATAGTCAAAGCCCAAGGAAAAGCAGAGAAGTGCTGTGATCTGAGTTTGTACTTTGGAAAGATCACTCTGAAAGCTAGCAGAGATACGGATTTGGGCTGGAGGCTAGGAGACCTACTAAGGGGCTACTTCCATAGTCCTAGTCTGAGATTATGGTAATTTGGACTAGCTAGGGCTTTAGCTTTGGAGACGGTGAGATGTAGTTAGATTTGTGATTTTAGAGGTAGTGTCAACAGTACATGTAGGTGGACCGTGTACTGTAAGAGAAAAAGAGGAAGCAAGCATGACGGCTAGAATGAGCAACTGGGTGGCGGTGGTGATGCCATTTACTAAGAATGGGGAAAATTAGTGGTGAAACAGGTTTGAGAGGAAAAAGCAAACACTTGCTTTGTCCATAGGTTAAGAGTCTTTATCCATAGGTTAAGACATTTCTAAATAGAAATGTCAAATGAGTAATTGGATTTATAAGTAAAGAGCTCAGGAAAGAGGCCAGGGTTGGTGATACAGAATCATCAGTACATAAGTGGCATCTGAAGTCTTGAGACTTCTTGAGGCTCTTTGGGGAATGATATAGACAGAAAAGATGGCAAAGGATTGAGCCCTAGAATACATTTAGAACTATAATAAGAGTAAAGTGGCCAACAAAAAAGGCTGAAACAGGTTGGCCAAGGATGTGGGTGGGAAGTCAGAAGAACATAGTGACATGGAAGCCAAGAAATTAAACTGTAATCAAGTATGGGAAATAATAAACTATGTTGAATAAAATGAGGGCAAACATGCAGTCACTGGATTTGACAACATGAAATGGTGGAGAAAAACCAAATTGGACTGGTTTGAAGAGAAAATGAAAAATGAGGACCAGGCATGGTGGCTCACACCTGTAATCCCAGTGCTTTGGGAGGCTAAGTCGGGCAGATTGCTTGAGTCCAGGAGTCTGAGAGCAGCCTGGGCAACAGAGTGAGACCCTGACTTTACAAAAAATAAAAAGATAAAAAAAAATTAGTCAGGCATGGTGGCACAGGCCTGTAGTCCCAGCTTCTCAGGAAGCTGAGGTGGGATGATCACTTGAACCCAGGAGATCCAGGGTACAGTTAGCCGTGACCATGCCACTGCACTCCAGCCTGGACAACAGAAAGACCTTGTCTCAAAAAAAAAAAAAAAAAAAAGAAAAGAAAAGAAAACGAAATTGAGAATGTGGTTTTAATAATTGTGAGATGGCCCTTTTGAGGATTTTTACCTCAAAGTGAAACAGAGTTATGGGGCAGTAACTAGTGGTGAGTGTAGGGTTGAGAAAGATTTTTGTCCCCCCTTTTTTTTAACATAGCAAATAATAGAGAATGTTTTCATAATAATGATACTTCATTACAGTAACCATTGTGAATTGAAGACCAGAGGCCATACTCCAAATATTCTGACTTGTGTGAGATCTCCAGGCCCCTGTGGGATCAATCATTGGCAGAGGAAAGCCCAGTCCCTGAACAATTAATATTGAATGTCCTGCCAGCTGGGTTACAGTCACAATGAGGCAAGTAAGGCACACACCCATGCATAATATTTAAAGCAGCACCAAAAAAACCCCACCTTTAGCAATCAAATGAATAATATTTTAATATATAAATGTTAACATTAATTTTAAAAGATCCAAAATGAACAAAATATTGTAGATGAAGACAGAATCAGGAAGAGTGATGGACAGAGCTATATTGGAGACTGAAGCAAAAGAAAAATCTGTCATACTGATCTTGTCTATATTTAAATGTTTTATATTTTGTTCAACATAAAGTTTTTGGATCAATTTTTATTTTTTAAAATATAACATTAAAATAAAATTTATCTTGACTATTGAATTTTTTGGTGTCTCTTGAATTTTTCATGAAAGGGCAGGTGCCTCTATTGACTCACACCAGCCCCAGCCCTACCTGCCAGCCTACGGGATGGGGACTCAAAACAGACTGCACTTTATTCAGAGAAAAAACAAAATGTGAATATTTTACAAATATTAGAAGAATATACCATGGGCTTCAGGATTTGATTTCTAAAAAAATCCTTGAATTTAGTGCCTCAAGTTACAATATCAATTTTTATTTTCCATTGAAAGTTTTGTGGTGAGAAAATTTTAAATATATGGTTCTCATACTTCATTAAGAATGTCTTCTATTTCTACTTTAGTGACTTGCCTACTACAGACACTCAAGGGAGGTCAAGTGTATTATTGTGCAGAATAAAACGCTTGGCCAGGCACAATAATAAGCCTCAGATCTCTGTTATCAAAAAGTGATTCTCCTTAAAAACTGAGGGGATGAAATGAGACAAAATATAAAGTTCTTGGAACATAGGTGTGCAAAATGGCTTTAGTTACTGTTATTGGTTGAATTATAACACCTCCTGCCCCAAATTTTGTATTTTGACATCCTAAGTCTCAGTGCCTCAGAATGCAACTTTATTTGGAGATACAGTCTTCACTGAGTTAAGCAAATTAAACTGAAGTCGTGAGGGTGGTTCCTAATTCAATATGATTGGGGTCTTAAGAGGGGAAATTTGGACACAAATATATATACAGGGAGAAGACTGTGTAAAGGTACAGGGAAAACATCGCAGGAACGTGAAGATGGCCATCTGTAAGCCAGGGTGAGAGTCCTGGGTCAGATCTTTCACTCACAGCTCTCAGAAAGAACCAACCCTGCCCACGTATTGATTTTAGGCTTCTAGCCTCCAGAAATGTAAGACAATAAACATACCTATGTTTAAGGTGAATAGTTTGTGGTAGTTTGTTAAGGAAGCCCTAGCAAACTAATACAGTCACCTCTGCCTTTCTGCTGTTTCTGTCCTGCCTCCTCATTTCACACAATGCCATAGCACCTATTACTAATTGCAGAGAACTTAGTGCCTGGAAAAAGTAGTCTTTTTGTTTTTAGTGTAAACCTGACTATCCAAAGGTTGATGAGTCCTTAACCCCCATCCTACTTACTTATTTATTCCCCAAATCCATTTCCAACTCCCTGTCATTCACCTTCTGCTTGAGACTTACCTGACCTAGGAATAAATTCTAATCATGAAAGTAACAGACATAGTTTGTTAGTAAATACATCTTCCTTTGTAGCTATTTTCTTGAGAAATTTTAGCAGAGTGCGTTACCATATACTATACTATACTATACTATACTATACTATACTATACTATACTATACTATACTATAGTATACTATACTTGTAGTCAGTGTTTTAAGAAGAGGAGAAATGGGGTTCCCAGGTCATTACAAAATTGATGTAGGTGGGAAGGGAAACTTAAACTTGAAAAGTCCTGGAAGAATTGAAATCCAGGCTTAACTTTTTTTGAAAAATTTGTACCTTTACAATTTTAAGTTTCTAAATTCTGCATGGAGTTTATATTTTTAGATAAATAATGTTGAAACGTTGGCATTCCGTTATAATTTTAAATTGTTTTAAGTTGACAGATAAAATTGTGTGTATTTGCCATGTATTAATACAACGTGACGTTTTGAAGTATATACACATTGTGAAATGACTATCTGTAGCTAATTAACATATGCATTATATCACATAGGTATTATTTTTGTGGTAAGAACATTTTACATCTACTCACAGGATTTTTCAAAAATTCAATATATTATTAACTATAGTCAACATATTGTACAACGGATCTCTTGAATTTCTTTCACCCTTTTAACTAAAATTTTGTAACCTTTGATCAACATCTCCCCAACATCCCACCCACCCTCCAACCACCCTAGGCCCTGGTAGCCACCATTCTATGCTATATTAGTAGGAGATCAACTTTTTTAGATTTTATGTATGAATGAGACCACAAAGTATTTGTATTTCTGTGCCTGGTTTATTTCACTTAACATAAGGTCCTCCAGGTTCATCCAAGCTGTTGCAAAGTACAGGATTTTCTTCTTTTTTATGCCTGAATAGTATTCCACTATGTATATGTACCACATTTGTTTATTCATTTATCTGTTGATGGACACTTAGGTTGATTTCGTATCTTGGCTATTGTTACTAGTGTTGCAACAAACATGAAAGTACAAATGTCTCTTCAAGTTACTGATTTTATTTCCTTTGCAAATATGCCCAGTAGTGGGATTGCTGGATCATATGGTAATTATATTTTTAATTTTTAAAGAAATTTTCATTCTGTTTTTCATGATGGCTGTACTAATTTTCATTCCCACCAACAGTGTGCAAAGGTTTCCTTTTCTGCACAATCTTGCCAACACTTATCTTTTGTCTTTCTGATAATAGTCATTTTAACAGGTGAGAGGTTTTAATATGCATTTTATCTGATGATTAATCATGTTAAGCATTTTTTTCATATACATGTTGGTCATTTGCATGTTTATTTTTTAGAAAGTCTATCGAGGTCTTTTGCCCATTTTTTAATCAGGTAATTTGTTTTCTTGCTATTAAGTTTTTTTAATTCCTTATATAATTTGCGTATTAACCCCGATAAGATAAATAGTTTGCAACTATTTTCTTCCATTCTGTAGATTCTCTATTCACTCTGTTGATATTTTCCTTTACTAGGCAGAAGCTTTAGCATGATATAATTTGATTTGTATTTTATGATTTGTTGCCTGTGCTTTAGGGGTTATATTAAAAAAGTCATCACCCAGACCCATGTCATGGAGCTTTTCCTGTATGTTTTCTTCTAGTAGTTTCATAATTTCGGGTGTTACATTTAAGTGTGCAATTCATTTTGAGTTAATTTTTTATATGGTGTGAGATAAGGGCATAATGTCATTCTTCTGCATATGTATATCCATTTGTCACAACACCAGTTATTGAGGAGACTGTCCTTTCCCCATTGTGTGTTCTGGAAATCTTTGTCAAAAATTAATTGGCTGTAAGTGGATGGATTTATTTCTTTGTTCTCTATTTTGTTCCATTGGTCTATGTGTCTGTTTTTAATGCCAGTGCCATGCTGTTTTCGTTACTTTAGCTTTGTAGTATATTTTGAATTCAGATAGTGTGATGTTTACAGCTTTGTTCTTTTTGCTCGAGATCGCTTTGTCTATTCAGGGTCTTCTATGGCTCCATATGAATTTTAGGAATGTTTTTTCTATTTCTGTGAAGAATGTCATTGGTATGTTGCTGGAGATTGTATTGAATCTATAGAGCACTTTGAGTCATAAGGACATTTTAACAATATTAATTCTTCCAATCCATGAACATAGGATGTCTTTCCATTCATTTGTGTCTTCTTCAGTTGATCTCATCAATGTTTATAGTTTTCAGTGTAGAGATCTTTCACCTGCTTGGTTAATTTATTTAATTTTATTAAATAAAATAAGTACTTTATTTTCAATGTTATAATTTTAATGCTACATCTATGGCTTGTAAACACATCTTGTTTTAATTGTGTTATACTTTCTTTTTGGATTCACTCATGAAAAAAATATTTATTGAGAATCTATAATGTGCCAGTCATTGTTATAAGCATGCCTGTGAAAAAATATAAGTCTCTTGGAGCTTACATTCTAATGGGGGTGTGTGAAGATATGTGTAAATAATAAACATAACACATAAATAAATAACATAGTATGCTAGAAGGTGACTGAATATAAAAGTTTAAAAAATAGAGCAGGATATGAGAAATCTGTAGGAGGATGGGCATATCTGAAGTAGAATGTTCAAGCTGGGCGTTGAGAAAGTGACTTGAAAATGAGAAAATGCACTCTACAAAAACCTGGAAGATAATGGACAGCTAGTGCAGATGACCTAGGGGAGGAGTGTGCCATGTGTGTTTGAAAAGCAGTGAGGTGGCCAGTGTGGCTAGAGCTAAGAAAGTTGGCAGAGTAAAAAAATGCAGTCAGGGGGTTCAGACGAGGTATATCAGGTTGAGCTATACTGGCCATTACACTTTGGATACTACTCTAAATCTCTTCTTTAAGAGCTACTCATTCATTCAAACATCCATTTATTTAACAAGCATTTATGATTGTCTGGAATATGCTAGAGGCTGTGCAGACACTGGTGGTGTGAAGTAGAATAACACATACTTTTTTTCTTCAAGAAGCCTTGTGGATCCTGGAGACTACAGATTAAGATTAGTAACTATAAATGTGATAAGTGGTTGGCAGCATGGCTATGTAGAAATTACCCTAGGGCATGTGTATTTGTAGATGTGTTGTGAAATTGAGAGAAAAGAGAGGTAAGATGATGCTTGAGGTAAGTTTTAAAGGAGTTTCCTAAGGCAATGAAGGTTGCAGGACAGAGGATAAGATTTTGATGCTTTTCCTAATTATGTTTTCCTTTCACATTTTAGTATCACTCAGGAGGTAACTATTCTATTTCTGAAATTTCATATAAACAAAATAAAAATGTCTTCAGGTCTAACCTGTAATGCTAGAAATATTGAGTCTCTTTCTTTCATGCTCCATTGCATTCTGGGTATCTTTTGCTTTACTTTGCTGCTTGTGTTTGTTTCTATCAATTTTTATCTTTCTTGAGAGGGCAGTTGGGATTTTCTTCCTTGTTCATCACTGTATTACTATTGGCTAGTGCTGTTCCTCGCCTTAGGTCTGGCATGTAAATACACAAAAGATATTTGTCGAATGACATTAATACAAAAAAATTGCATCTGCCTAAACAATCCTAATACTTTTGGACCGTTTTTACATCAAATGTTTTATGCTTTTTATCTTTTCTGTCTCTCTTCTTTCTCATTTTTTATGACTTATATGTGAAGAGCTGACATTTTTGAAAGCATGCTTTGATCCAAAAATTATTGTAATTATTTAAAATCCACAGCAACCACTGCTTCTTCTTGGTGTTTGTATTTTACCCTTTTTTAATGACAATTCTTTTATCTTCTCCTTCTTGCTATTATTTGCATATCACTAAAGTGAGTTTACAGGACATCCAAAGATTTTATTCAGAGTTTTCCTGTAATCCTTCAGTCATTGGTATTCTAGATACCATTCCCTATTGTTCTCTGAAGAAAGATATTTGAATGGAAAAGATGTTGGATGTTGGTATATAGTAGAAAGGCCCCTGCAGCCACCATGCAGTAGGGACAACTTGAGAGTATACTCTAGCAGTCCTGGGTCACATGCTTTTTTTTTTTTTTTAACTTTTAAGTTCAGAAGGCCAACAAACATATGCAAAAAAAGCTCAACATCACTGATCATCAGAGAAATGCAAATCAAAATCACAATGAGATCCCATCTCACACCAGTCAGAATAGCTATTATTAAAAAGTCAAAAAATAACAGGTGCTGGTGAGGTTGCAAAGAAAAAGGAAAGCTTACACACTATTGGTGGGAGTGTAAATTAGTTCTACCATTGTGAAAGACAGTGTGGCAATTCCTCAAGGACTTAAAAACAGAACTACCATTGGACCCAGTAATTTCATTACTGAGTAAATGTCCAAAGAAATGGAAATTGTTCTTTCATAAAGACACATGCATGCGTATGTTTGTTGTGGCACTATTCACAATAGCACACGCTTTCATTTTAAGAGTTCTGAATATGTCACTCCACTATCATTGGCAGTTTGAAGCTTTCTAAAATTTGATTTGCTGATAGTTGACTGTTTGCTTTTGAAGTTTGGGAATTTTTTTTTCCAAAAAAAATCTTTTACTTTATTGGAGCAAGATTCCTGATCAGTATACAGTGATGTATTTACTAAACAGAGACCTGTGCTGAAATTACATACTATCCATCTAGATAGGTTGCTACATTTTTGCTTATCGATAGAATAGTCCCATTTATCAAGTTTATATATCAAAAAGCTTTTCAATTTCACCAGGCTGTTCACTAATTCACCTCTGAAAAAGTGGCATTTAATTTCAGCTACTATATTTTACAGCATTAAAAAGCTTATGCATTAGGGTGCTTCTCCACACAATGGCATTGAGCAGACAGAGTATTACTGAAATTTAAGGCTTTTAGTAGAACGTATCACAATATTGGCTTCAGCTTCTTTGACACCAAATGTAATTTTTCTCATTTTCATTTTTGTTACTTTTAGTTTTACATAATTTAAAGATATCTTAATGTTATAATGTTGACTATCAATTTTCTCCAATATTCAGATGTTTTCTGCAGCTATTTTAAGGTTAGATTTCAATGGTCATGGCCTAATATTCATATCCATGTTCTCTTTCTTTAAATTTTTGCTGTTTTTCATATTTTTCTTGACTCTATCTTTTGTTTTACAAATGTTTATGTGTCATTATATCTTTTTAAAAATGAAAGATATTTCTCAGTGAAGTCCCATTAATGTTTTCTTATTTACCTGTGTTACTTTGCGAGCTCCCCTCTTCCATCCTTGATTTAGGCCCTATCAATTGTATCTCTAGAACCAGCTTTGCCTCACAACCTGGTGAGAAGTTATATTTTTAAAAAATTGAACAAAATAAAATGCATATGTCTACGTGTGTCTGTACACACACACACCCACACAAACATTCTATTTTGTACTTTCTCTGTTTCAGTATTATTTTCCGATTAAAGTCTTAAATCCTAGTTTATTTATTAAAGTCTCACTTGGGTTCCTCATGGTTGGCTAATTCTGAAGCTGTAGATAACCACTAATCTTAATTGAAAGTATTTGGGTCTAATTACTTTTTACCCTTAAGCAAGCCCATAGTTCTTTTCATTTATTCTTTCTTTCAACAAGCGCATATTGAGAAATTACTATATGTCAGCACTGTGCCAGGCCCTGAGAGTATATAACACAAATTATGCATTCACTACCTGCATGTGACTATTTGTCCAGTGTATGAAATCACTATTTGATTATGTAATTATTTAATATAAAGAACTGTGGAAGCCCCAGCAATGTGCTAGTGGCATCTGATCAGAGAAAACTGCTTATAAAAGTTGAAGCTAGAAATGCTTCTTAAGGGATGATGAGGAGTTCATTAGTGAATAACAAGAATGGAGGTAGGAGAAGTGGGGAAGAGAAAGAAAAGCATTCTAGATGGGCCCAGCATGGACAAATCCACAGAAGTGAAGAACAGCATAGTATGTGGTATGTATATTTGTTTGTATAATGTGCATGTACAGTAAATGTACAGTTTGTATAGTGTGCACTTGTACAGTACAGTTTTTGCTGGAATTTGACTAGCAAATTGAAAAAATTAAAGTCCATAAAGTGTGTTTAAAATTTGTTTAAAATAAAAGATAAAATGAAACTCTAAACAATACTATGGTGCAGAAAAGGATTGTGAAAGGTGGTGTGATGGGTTGGGAAGGGAGGTGGAAATGCTATTAAATTTTGTTAAAAATTATAGTGACGTATTCATGTGAAAATTTTAGTGGAAACCACCAAAAAAATTATAAAAATATAGTTTGTCATCATGGATGAAAAAAGGATGCATAAAACTGTTTATCAAGTGGATAACAAAGATGGAATCTAAGGAAAACTTCAATTAAATGGAAACCACAAAATAAGATTGTTGTAAGGTTCTAAAATGTCAGTACCATGATAAATACAATTGGACTAATTTCACCTGGCAGATTTTACCAGATTAGATAAAATATAAAATTTTATCAAAATGGATAAAAAGAATAAAATTTTAGCCACATGCTGCTTACATGCAATACCCAAGTTAAATTACCTACTTGCCTAAATTAAAGCCACACAGAAATGGATGAGGATATGTATACCACTTTTTGAAATGACCAAAAGAAAGCTGATATAACTAAGTTAATATCAGACAAGGCAAAAAGCATTTATAAGGATAAAGTGGGGGTACTATTTAATATTAAGAATAAGAATGTAAAAGGGAAAGGGATAAAAAAACAGGATGTGCTGATGGAATAGTAGGTAGCTTGGGACAAGATGGCATGGAGCTTACACATGAATGAACTTTTAGACTATGTAGAAAAAAGAGTGGGATGGGAGAATGGGTATAACCTAATTGTTGGGAGGCTTCTCCTGTTTGTGGTTAGAGAAATAGGGTTAGAAATAAGGGAAGGCGACATGTTCATCTATACACAGGGGCTATTAACCACTCACCTATGAAAAAAGCATTAGTCTCACTTCTGAGAGTCTTCAAAGTGGTATTTCACATGTTCCCGGAACATATTCTACCAGTTGCATTAACTGTGCTTGTGGTCTGTGAAGGGATTAGGTCTTAATCTTGGTATTTGCATCAGTTATCTGTTCTCAGGATCTTGTGGTTCACATTTTAGAACTATAGATACACAATAAGCTACAGGAGGCTGATTACTCAACAAAAGGTTACTGCACTAATGTTTAGACAAGCCAAGATGGTTCTATACATCAGCCAAGATAGTTCCTGCCAGCAGAGGTTGAGGAAGCTTTCTTCTCCTACATTCTGTACCCCCTTTTTCTTATTATATATGCAATGTTGTCAATGGTATAGACTCCAATCATAGAAGGCAGCCCTGGATGGGAATTGAAAGGCTGGTGAGCACATATTAAGGTGGCAAATGAATTGTTAGGTCAGATTTAAATTTGGGGGGAAACCGAAAGTCTATTACTTAATATGACTCCTAGGCATTTACTCATTGACTAGAACAGCATTAGACAGGATCTCTCTTCCAAATGCCCACAAGTATAGTATGGAACTGAAGTCAGCTATTGGCTAGACTTCAGGTATCAAGGTAAATTCAGATTGGCTTCTGTCATTTGCAACATTGTTTCAATCTACATAATAGATGGTGGTGCTTTGTCTCAAATGATGTCACTGGATTAGGATGCTGGCTGCTAGCTGGTTCAAATTCTGATTATATTTTGAATGTAAAACCAAAAGTATATTCTAATACTATATATGATATATGGCATTATACATTGTCTCAAACCATATATCCCAACTTATAACGTTGTCCAATGTTTTAAAAATATCGACAGTTAACTATTGAGCCCATACACTTAAATTTGGCAGATTGATTGTTCTTGTCCATCAGCTCTTCTCTCTACAAGCTTCATAAAAGTATCAATAAGAATAAAAGACAACACATAAGGACAAAGAGAACATAGACAATAGTGCATGAAGGATTTCAAAAAAAAGTTGAAAAAGAGCAAACTAATGAAGAAGATACTATGGATTTAGCAGCCTAGAAGTAATAGGAATCCAAACAAATGCCTGCTGGAGATGGGATACCTATAAGAATTGATCTAATTTGCCTTGCTGAATGCTTGGAACATGGGGTGAGGTCTGTGATTACAATATGATTGGTTGAAAATCTATATACAAAGTGGTTGAACTTTCCTAGTCCCCACCACTTCCCTGAGCAGTCAGAAAGCTACCCCACCCACATCTATCAGAGGAAATAGGAGGCTTAGCCTAGTGAAACTAAGACAAAGAGCCTCTGGATTCAGAGACTACAGGCATCGCATAAAGTAGGGCAGAGTTCAAGGACTAAGAATAGTAGGATTATGCAAAAATCTACATATTTAAATGCAAGACTAATAGGCTGTTTCTCCTGCTTCCTCCTAGAATCCTGGATAGCAAAGTTTATACCCTCCCCTTACCAACACACATCAATGCTCATCTTCCAATCAACTTCTCATTTTCACATATGAACAAATCTCTGACTATTAGTAGACATTTGAGGAAAGACACTTAGGTGACAGACAAAAATAATCATAAAAAAAAACCTGGACAAAAACAAAGGCAGTCAATGGAGCAAAAGAAGCAAACTAAAAAGCCATAGTTAATATCCTCAAGGAGATAAGAGAAGAGAATCTTTCTTTAAAACAGAAATGGGGTCTTATGTAAAAAGGACAATAAGAGAACTAGAGCTTTTGGAAACTAAAAATACAGTGAACAAGAAGAAGTTTGCTTCAGCCCCTGTTGGCAATGGCATGGCCTACAGCTGCCAGGAGACCAGTAGTATGGAAGAGAAGGTACTGCAAGTGGGAGTGTGGGTATAGGCAATTGCATGAAGTTGGGACTATGAACCCGAGGAGGACATGGCAATGGCAGTGGAGGGTTGGATGCCTGAGCTGGCAGGTCCCTGACACAGGAAAGAGTCTATCATATTCCTCTGCACCCAGTCCTCTCTTGGTCAGACATTACATCTCCCACCTGGTGAAGAATTTGGGGTTGTAGGTCTTAGCAGTCTGGAATGGGTCCAGTTATCTGAACTGTTGAGACTCTACCTAAAACAGGAATAGAAAATCCAACTATGAGAACTAAGAGATGAGCTTGATAGAGCGACTCTTGAGAATGATAACATTTTGTATCAAATATAAAAAATATTAAGATCTAAGAGGTTTAACTAACTTTTTTTGAATCTTCTCCAGAAACTTTTATTGTGGCTGCCAATATTTTGGACAGATCCTTGGCTTTTCTGAAGTTGAAACCTAAAATTCATCTTTCACTGGGGTCTGTTGTTTATGCTGATTGCCAGAATAGTTGAAAAAGAATGCCATGTTTTATCTACTCATGAAGTAATCTTGATTCGTCAATGTAAACGCACTGCTTCTTCTGACAGAAAACTGATGGAAAAATAATTTCAGAAAAAAATTTGGAACTATGAATTGGAACGTACTGTACCTTAAACTTCTTTTGCTTCTATAAGACTCATATTTCTTTATATTTGAGAAAGGAAAGAAATATTGGGCCTTATAAACCGGAAGCTCAGCTGAAAACTTGCAATTTTTTGCTAATGTTTTCAAAAGCAAAACCATCTGTATTAGTTTTGTGTCTTCTTAATCTGGAAGTAGAACTGTTGTAATTTACTGAATTATTGAAAAATGTCCTGCTTCTTATAAGGCATTCAAAGATTAATGACACCGAATTCTTTTAGTGGAGGGAACTAGTTTCTAAATGCCTAGCTGAATATTTTCTCTATGTGTTGGAAGAAATTGCTTTGCATTGTTTCTAGATGCAGAGCCCAGACCCTCCAAGACAGCTACTGTGGTGTTCCTAAATTGTCAACAATATTGGAGGATAACTGTCCTGATGAAAGTGAAAGTGAGGACTCTGAAGATGTGAGTTGTGGGGAATGAAGTCTCAGCAGCTTTCATCGCAGAGATCAAAGACGTACATCTTTTTGAACTTGAAAGTGACACAGTCTCTGTGCTTTCCATTTTAGAAATCTAATTGTATTATGTCAAAATTTAAAGGATGTGTATGGTTTATAAGCAGTGAATGGGGAAGTAGTTAGTTTTCTTATGCAGTTCTCATGAAGGCAGAAAGATCATAGATTAGAACACCAACCGTCTATTATTATTCAGACCAAATCTGGTCTATTTTTATATTCTAAGCCATCAAATAGGATAGGGACTCTGAAACAACTGAAAATAATTTAAATATTAGCACTTTGTTTTTCTCTTTGAATAAAAATGATCTTTAGCTACTTGTGGGAATAGGAAAGGGGCTGATACATTTAATTTATTACTTATCAAGAGAATTTATCAAATGAATACTGTAGCTTATCTTAAACGTTTTGTATAACATCTTCAGGCATCTTTATTTAAACAGACTGAGAGTGTGCAAATGCCTTGGTACTAGAGAAAGCAGTAATCCTTTTAATGATTTATCTTTGATCCCCTTAGCTGACCTCCTACATCTCATTTCTCAGAACAGAGAATATACTATTGAATGCCAAGAATTCCCCCTCCTTTAATTTAATGCTCAGTGTTCTTTCTGGTTCAGGGCCTATAAACTTAGGAGTTATAGTATTGACATTTCTGTGAGTTTTATTCTGTAATGTTTTAATGGAGGTTTCAGCTAGGGCACAATCAAATGACAGGCTAATGCTGTTAGATTGTTGTGCTCCCAATGGCTGTGTCTTGCCTGACAATCCACTAGTTTTCCATGCACATGTATACAACTATGTGAGAAGTTGAACAGAAATAGATAACTCTGTAAATGATAAATATTGTTTAAGTGATTAATTTTATTTAATTTTCTCACATTAAATACCAAGTTTGCATTATGGCATTTTCTTTGCTTTGAAATTAATATTTCAAAATTAATTATATTAGTATATGGATGCTAAGATGAAACACAATTTTTAAAAATGTTTGCTATAATATAGTTTAAGCATATTTCTTAAATATGATAGTAGAGTCATAAGAATGGTGACATTCAAACTGTATGCATGAACTTTTATGTAGAGAAATGTGTGCTTTTTACAAAACTTTAGAAAATGTTTATAAAATATGAATCTTACCAATGAACTTAAAATACAAGTTTTTAACATCATGCATGCAATAGTCTAGTCATTAAACATAGACATTAAGCATTATATTTCTGTATCACAAATTATACACTGATGGCTTTTTTACTGGTAAGTCAACATTCATTGGTTATTTTCCATTTTTAAGTCAATATAGTTTGAGAGTTTCTATGCTTTTAAAAAATCAAGATATAATTAATAAAATAAAATTTACCATTGTAATGTGTACAATTCAGTGGTTTTTAGTATTTTTTTATGTTGTGCAAACCTTACCACTAATTCCAGAACATTTCCAATATCATTCCAAGAAGAAACCCTATATCCACTAGCAGTCAGCCCCAATCCCTCACCCCAATTTTGGGGCAACCATGAATCTACTTTTTGTCTTAATGGATTTGCCTATTCTGGACATTTTATATAAATGGAATATAATACTTGTCTAGCTTTAAAAATATATCCTTCTGTGTCTGGCTTCTTTCACGGAGCATAACATTTCCAAGGTTCACATTGGATATTTCTCTTTTTTAAGTGGCAACAGACTGTAACTTAAAAATATGAACAAAGCATAAAATAGATGATTAAATAAAATAATGTAATGTAATGGAATTTTTGGAAGATTATAAATAAAAACAAAAAAGATAAAGTTTAATATAGGAAATCCAACCTGGGATTAATTCCAATCCTGTTATAGGAAAAGGAAATAGAAGAAATGGGGTGGGAGAGATGCAGAATTATAAAAGAAATAATAAAATAAAATTTCTCATAATTGATGGATATGACCCCAGTTTGAAGAGCCACTGCCTACACACAACGGAATGAATAAAAAGCATGCAATAGATCTATTCTAGTTTCTTGAAAAAATTACCAATGAAAATATAGAATGATAACAGAAGGAAGACACAGATTATTATATTAAGAAAATGCTAAGAGTGATATGCTAAAAGAAATACAGCTCTAATAGACTAGTTGGCTTAGTGTAAACAAATTTTACATGGAATTATAGTGTAAACACTTTTAATTTAACTAAAGATTCTTTTATAACTATATTAGGAGGATGTGCAGCTGAGGAAAAATTGGGGAAGGTGGTGATTTAGATAAGCCCTCAACAACCAGAAGTATTCAGTAGGTGATGGGTTGATTGTTGAGACATTGGAGTATAAACATGTTATCTAGAAACACTGAGCTAAATGCTAGAAAAACAGTGAAAGTCGTTGAAAGCAGCTGCCTCTGAGGATTGAGACTAGTGTTAGAAACAGGTGGTACAGAAAATCGTGGCTTTTTGATATAGCTTTTTGGTTCTATATGATTTTCACCTATAATAAAAATTAATAGGATGGGCTTGGTGGTTCATGTGTGTAATCCCAACACTTTGGAAGCCCAAAGTGGGAGCATGGCTTGAGCTCAGGAGTTTGAGACCAGCCTGGGCAATATAGTGAGACCCTATCTCTACAAAAAATAAATACAATTAGCCAAGCATGGTGGTGTACACCTGTAGTCCCAGTTACTTAGGAAGCTGAGTTAGGAGGACTGCTTGAGCCCCAGAGGTCGAAGCTGCAGTGAGCTGTAATTCACTCTAGCCAGGTTATAGGCAAAATCCTGTCTCAAAAAAAAGTTAATAAAAATGTAAATGTCAAATATTTTAAGGTTTCTTAAACCACCTGTATGTAACTTTTGTATTTTACTTATTTTATTAGTATAATATCACTTTGTTAGTCTCATATTTTTATCTAATAAATCCAAGATTTATTAGTATTAACTTTACTTCCTTTTGTTTTTCTTTGATAGAAATTTACCTTCTCCATATGTTCTTTAAAGGACTACTTATTATGTATCCATGTCTATAAGAGAAAAATTACATATTTAAATAAATATATGGAATCATTTAGCACCAAATATATTTTAACCAAATGACATTCTCACATGGTACTGGGTAATTATAACAAGATGTTGAAATTGGAGGAGCCAGCAGTCAATAGAATGTAGTAAAGTTTTGCTACTAGCACTTTGGACATGCTCCATGCTTTAGTTTAAGACCACTTGTGGGTACTATAATTGGGGTACTGAAGCATAATTCAGTAAGTAGACCAAACACGTTCCATGCCAAGGTTCTTAATAAAATATCAAATTTTAAAAATTAAAAAAATTTCAAAATATCAAAAATTTTAAAATTTATGTATTTATTAAAGTGACTCTTTAAGAAAAATTAAAATCTCATTGAAATTTTATTAAATTTATTTCACCATTTAATTATATACCTATTTTGAAATCCATATTGGGTAAGAGAAGTAGCACCATAACAATTTCAGTGTTTATCAACTCCAAATATGGGCAGTTTTCCTGGTTTATGTCTCTTCTAATTAATGGCAGAGAGTAGTTGTGCCATTCCTCTATTATGACCTGCTGATCATGGTCCAAACCACTAAATGGTGGTTTGTAAGTAACAGTGGTTTGTAAGTAGTGGTGGCTTTTAGTCAGTAATATGGTTTGGATGATTGTCCCCTCCAAATCTCACACTGAGATGTGATTCCCAATGTTATAGGTAGGGCCTGGTGGGAGGTGATTCAATCATGGAAATGGATCCTTCATGAATGATTTAGTACCATGCCCTTAGTGATAAGCGAGTTCTTGCTCAGTTAGTTCACAGATCTGGTTGTTTAAAAGCCTGGGACCTTTTGCCTTGCTCTCTTTCTCTCTCACCATGTGACATGCTGACTCCCCCTCACCTTCCACCATGATTGTAAGCTTCCTGAGGTCTCACCTCATGCAGATGCCAACATCATGCTTCCTGTACAGCCTGCACAATCATATGCCCAAATAAACCTCTTTTCTTTACAAATTACCCAGTCTCAGGTATTTCTTTATATTAACAGTAATGCAAATGGATTAATATAGTCAGTCTCTATATTAATGGAGCAAAGTTTAGTAATGTTAGAAATGGTGGTACAGAAAAAACTTTAGAATGAAGCCTATTGTATTTCAGGACTTCTATGGAGCATGGAAACTGCAGTTGTGATCTCTTTATTGCACAAAGAACAATCCAAAGAAAGCAAGAGGATTCAATTTTGGTGCCCAGTTCAATTCTGGTTTTGCAGATTCCAAACTAGTCTGGATCAGATCAATCAAGGCCACAGAAAATATTTTAGAGTGTTGTATGTTTAAAAATTCTCAACTGTGAGTTTTTATGGGACCACCTTCTGGTCCTCTGGACTTTCAGAGTAGAGATAATAAGGCAAAGAGATGAAGTCCTGAGGGAAAGGTTAGTACTTAAGACAATTTATAATGAACAGAAAAGGGTCCTGCGTGGCAGTGGACACGGCAGGGGGTTTGTGTTGTTCATAGAGAGAAGGGCCACCATGAGAAGTCTAAAGCAGTAGTGGTACATGTGCCCAGAAAAAGAAAAGAGAGTGTGGGGTGTTGAAAATTTTCAGTGACTAAGGAAAGTAGAAATGTGAGTTGTTCACAGGTGACTGCCCTCAGATATATTCTATTTTAAATTTTGCACAAGTCATTTTTGTGCAGGAAGTGCTTTACCTTGTCTGTAACAGGGAGGTGATGAGGACTATATGTGAAGAATTGTCAGTGGGTATCAAGATTTCTGATATATACAGGGCTTTTGTAATAGGGTTAGATGTCATGATGAGTCATTTTTTTTATTTTTATTTTTTTGAGACAGAGTCTCACACTGTCGTCCTGGCTGGAGTGCAGTGGCGTGATCTCAGATCACTGCAACCTCCGCCTCCCAGGTTCAAACAATTCTCCTTGCCTCTGCCTCCCAAGTAGCTGGGATTACAGGGGCGTGTCTCCATGCCTGGCTAATTTTTTTGTATTTTTAGTAGACATGGGGTTTCACTATGTTGGCCAGACTGGTCTCGAACTCCTGACCTCGTGATCTGCCTGCCTCGGCCTCCCACTCCTGACCTCGTGATCCGCCTGCCTCGGCCTCCCAAAGTGCTGGGATTACAGGCATGAGCCACTGTGCCCAGCCGAATCATTAGTTTAAGTCCCTTCCTTATAACCCTCCATGTCTTATAATTAATTTAAATGGTGATAAGATGACTTCTTTCAGCTCAGTAACTCTATCTTGCCAGATCAGGTATGGAGACCCCCAAACAGGATATTTGGTTTGTATGATGTCTACCTCTTCAACCTCATTAGGACAGTTAAATGCATGTAAACTGCTGAATAACACCAAGTGAATTGGCAAACTTAACTTTAGGTCTCCAAATATCGCATCTTTTGGTCTTCTCACCATGTCTTAAATCCTGGTTCTTTCGTTGGAATTATTTACTTTTATCAACAATTACAGCAACACTCTGTTCCCTCCCTCCCCATATAAGTGCTGTTTCTTTCTCAAGAGAGAGCTCTAAAAATCTTGCGTCAGAGTAGACAGCTCAGAACCCTTAAAGCTCTTTTTCTCTGTTGCCAAAGTAATTCTGTAATTTTTAAATTATGTCTCATTTTTCATCTGGAAAGCTTTGAGAAGAAATGCTTCTTTCTCCAAGGAAGTTATTAGATATTGAATTATAGTCCCTGTTCTTCCTGTTGATGAAAAAGTGTTCACATTATCTTTAGATAAACTTATTTCATGATTTATTAATGAACATATAGCAGTAATTTGACTCAGCAAGGCAATAAGGATGAAATAAAGGAAAACTTTTGGGAGAAATTCTGAAAATTAAAGAACTGTATTTTTGATGTAGCTTGAAGGAGTTGCAGTCACATGTAGGAGGATGAAGGCAACCATTGAAAAAGAGATTGGAAGTGTGATGCCATCGACAAAGGGAAATTTTTCTAAAAAGGCAGGCAGTATAATTGAATTGCCAAATTGGGTTTTTGACGATATCAGGATGAGACTTAATCTGGAATTACTGAGTTTAAGTCTAACAAGAAAGGACAAAGTAACACCTGGGTTTGTTATCAGTGGTTTGCTAACCTAAGGGGATAATAAAAATTGTAACGCTAACCTTAGGGTGAATTGTTTGATTTTTACCTTTAAGCCATATTGTGTTTTACCTACGTACCATAAAGCACAGCTGACATTTATTAAACACAGCCTGACCTTATTCAATTATTTAAGCATCAAATGATTTACCAAATTTTCAAAAATACAACTTAAAATTTCACAACTGTTCTGAGAGAAGGTAGAGATTGTGGTGGATACTTAGAAATAATGTGACCATTTGAAAAGGAAGAATATTCGTGATATAGGGCTGAGATGAAGAAAGGTAAGAGCTAAAATTAAAGAACAATGGAAACCGTATTACAGTAAATATTAGGAAGATATTTGAGTGGTAGATTGATTGAGGGTCTTTATCTGAAGAGTCAAAGAAAAATACTATACATTCTTAAGTAAAAAATAGCATTGATTTAGGAATTTTAATCGATGATGTCATGTTGGGTAGGGAGGGGCTGGATCATAGAGTACTGGTGGTGGCAATTGCACTTAGCAAATTATCAAGTGAACTCCCCCACTCTGGGCTAATTTTGTGGTTGTACAAAAGTAAAAATGGAATAGGTATGAGAGGCTGTGAGTACACTTGATTTCATTTAAACCAAACTTGATTAGATTTAGATAGATCAGGCACATATAATACTGGTTAGGTCTACCAAAACTGTATTTGAATAAGGAACTAAGAAGCTCTCTGGTTGAAAATTCAATAGAAGAGAAGATGGAGTCAACTGGGAGATATTACAGCAAAAAACATACATTTGTCATCCTTGGGGAATAGTGACGCTGAATACACATTATTTTTGCCACTTAGATTTGTCTTCTCTGTGGACCTATGTTTAAAAGTAATACCTAAATTTTATTTAAAAGTTTCTAAGATGGGAGCAAACAACTCTGCTTTGCTATCCTTTAGTAGGACATATTACAAAATATGGAAAGAAGTACTTTCCTCCAATTCAAGATTTGATGCTTCAGGGATTCCAGTGTCACTGCTGCAGTAGCAGCAGAAATGGCAGAGCAAGGCTGAGAAGAGAGCTCTGTAGAGGCTTCATCAGTACCTGAAGGACACACATGTACAGCACTCAAGTGAAAAGCCTGAAAAAGAAAAGAGGGATATTAGCACAGGTTAAAAAACATGACTTGTTCTGAGTACATGCAAGATATCTGGTGGGGACCCTAGATGTGCCTGGGGGGCAAAGGCTTTTGCAGAGAATTCGTTTTAAATTGTGAAGAAAGAAAAACAGTAAATAAGACATGGGGGATATATGAATTGAAACGAACTGGATATTGTGATAGGTAGAATAGTGGCTCCTCAAAGATATTCAAACCCTAAACTAATATCATATGAATATGTTATGTTACATAGCAAGGGAGAATTAAGGCTGAAGATAGAATTAATGTTGCTCATCAATTAGTCCGGGAACTTTTTTTGGATTAGCCAGGTGAGATCAATATAACCACAAGGGTTCTTAAATAGAAAAAGAATAGTCAGAGAGATGGCAGCATAAGAAGACTCAACCAGTCATTGCAGGTTTTGAAGCTGGGAGGGGGCCAGGGGCCAACAAATGTGGGCAGCATCTAGAATCTGGAAAAGGCAAGAAAATGAATTTTTCCCTAGAACCTTCAGAAGGGGATGTAGCCCTGTTGACATCTTGCTTTTAGTCTGGTAAGACCTATTTCATACTTCTGTTCTCCAGAACTGCAGGATAATAAACTTGTGTTAGTTTAAGCCACTAAATTTGTGTTAATTTGTTAATAACAGCAATAGGAAACTAATACAGTTGTGAATTAATGGGAATTGATGTGATTGATAAAGGAAAGAAAAAAGTAAAACAAATATGCAATTAAAAAAAGATCTTAAGAGGTCAGTTGGGATGACAATGTATCCACAGAAGCAAATGGGAATTAGCAATGGGAGCTATTTGGAGGGAGAAGGTAATGAGATTCAACTGATTTATGTTGAGTTTGAGGTAGTAGAATAATATGAAAGCATAACTATCCAGATTAAAGAAACATAAATTTGGATATGGAATTTGAAAATATAGAATATCTACGAGAATGGAGAATTAATCTGAAGAGTATTTTACCACAAAAAAAGATTGAGTTTGGAGATTTTCAAATTTAGGGGTAAAATTCTGAAAAATAAAATGGAGCAATCAGAGATATTGAAAGGAAATAAGTAAAGGATAGGGATACATTCTCAGAGAGTTTGTGATATGCAACTGAAGTTCAGTAGACATCTGTTGAATGAAGAGCTTAGAAACTTGATAAAGAGTAAGGCCAACATTTTTTAAAGTCTCCTCTAAGTCCAAGTGATGAGGTCTGCTCCTATACATTATTATAGGCTTGGGAATTGACTAGTTTGTCTTACATTTCAAAAAACGGAAGTAAAATGTTAAAGTTTGGAGTTTATGTCCTGGTAAAGTGTTACCTAACACCAGTATATATAAGTGCTTATTTTACTCATGCCCTTGCCCACACCGAAAGTGATCATTTGAAAAGGAGGATTTCAGGGGAACCCAACTAAATTGAGGTATATTCCTTAGTATATTATCAAACAATGTATGACACACATTTTATTTGCTTTCATGCCTTTCAGCTCCCAGCATGATTCCATTCCCTTATACTTTCCTTCTCTTTTGTGCTTACATTCTGCCAATCCACTTAAGTTTCTTTATTTATGTGTGTGTTCATGTATTAATATATGGCATTGTTTCTTATAATGTATATATATTCTTATAAATGTAGATATAAATAGCATAAATTTCATATATAATTACCTAAGATGTATTATATTTCTTACTTTTCTTACTTTTTCCATATAAAACTAGAATTTTTTTTTGATAAATATATTGGACTTATCCTTTTAGTGCCCACTTTCTAGTCTTCTATTGGCTTCCATCTACATTGTTTCCAACTTTTTACTCCTACTGGACTTCAGTGAATATTTTTATAGATGTCTGTTTGTGTACCTGAGCAAAGCCTTCTCCAGAATTTTTTGGATTGTGGATATATACATATCCTTATTTCATTAAATAATAGATTTTATTTCCAAAACAAATGCCACTGATTTCATCCAATGGTAGTGCCTGAGGATTTCCATTTCTTGGCATCTGCACCAACACTTGATACTATTAGAGTTTTTGCAAACATGAAGTACATGCAATGTATCTCATTGTGATTTTTATTTGCACTTCTTTGATTACTACCGTGGCTGACCTTTTTATTTATAATTTATAGTGTTTGCTTCTACAGATGGCCCATTCATATCCTTTCCCTATTTCTCTTTCTGGTTTTCATATTTCTTCATAATTTGTAAGAATTCCTCATATATTATATCTTGTGATCCAAAGTCTGATGCCTCATCCATTAGGCCATGTGGTCTCCTTCTTCCTGCTATATTCTAGATCTTAATCCTATGTCAGTTTTGGATATTGCAACTACCTTTTCTACTACTAACTTCATTTTATTTTGAAACAGGGTCTCGCTCTCTTGAGCAGGTTGGAGTGCGGCGGTGTGATCTCAGCTCTCTGTAACCTCCGGCTCCCGGGCTCAAGCAATCCTTGTGCCTCAGCCTCCCAAGTAGCTGAGAATACAGATGCATGCCACCACAACCAACCAGTTTTTGTAATTTTTTGTAGAGTTGAGGTTTTGCCATGTTTCCCGGGCTGGTCTTAAACTCCTGGCCTCAAGTGATCCACCAACTTTGGCCTCCAAAAGTGCTGGGATTACAGGCATGAACCACTGCTCCCGGCCTGTATTATTAACTTTAAATAAGGGACCATATTTGAAGAAAACTTTACTTTCCATATAGTACTGTTATACATGGTTTTCTCTTACATCATAAATGCATTTTGTTCTTATTTAAAAATATTCTCTATGGAATAAGAGATAGAATATATTTTCTACTAATTTGGTTGTTTTGGTTTTCACAAGATATGTTCAATTCTTGAAGCTTATTTTTGTGAAATTTGATTATAATTTTATTGTGTATTCCATATAGCAAACCAATTATTGATATTATTTACAAAAGAATTCACCCTTTATCTACTAGATGCTATATTAGTCTTTTTTTTTTTTACATCTAATGTTGAGGTTTGGAAACCTCAGGCCAATGATTTAAATTTAAGGCTTTACTTTTTCATTCTAGAAACTTTGAGAACTTGGGGAAAGGATTCCCTATTTAATAAATGGTGCTGGGAAAACTGGCTAGCATATGTAGAAAGCTGAAACTGGATCCCTTCCTTACACCTTATACAAAAATTAATTCAAGATGGATTAAAGACTTAAACGTTAGACCTAAAACCATAAAAACCCTAGAAGAAAACCTAGGCATTACCATTCAGGACATAGGCATGGGCAAGGACTTCATGTCTAAAACACCAAAAGCAATGGCAACAAAAGCCAAAATCGACAAATGGGATCTAATTAAACTTAAGAGCTTCTGCACAGCAAAACAGAGTGAACAGGCAACCTACAAAATGGGAGAAAATTCTCGCAATCTACGCATCTGACAAAGGGCTAATTTCCAGAATCTACAATGAACTCAAACAAATTTACAAGAAAAAAACAAACAACTCCATCAAAAAGTGGGCGAAGGACATGAACAGACACTTCTCAAAAGAAGACATTTATGCAGCCAAAATACACATGAAAAAATGCTCACTGTCACTGGCCATCAGAGAAATGCAAATCAAAACCACAATGAGATACCATCTCACACCAGTTAGAATGGCAATCATTAAAAAGTCAGGAAACAACAGGTGCTGGAGAGGATGTGGAGAAATAAGAACATTTTTACACTGTTGGTGGGACTGTAAACTAGTTCAACCATTGTGGAAATCAGTGTGGCGATTCCTCAGGGATCTAGAACTAGAAATACCATTTGACCCAGCCATCCCATTACTGGGTATATACCCAAAGGACTATAAATCATGCTGCTATAAAGACACATGCACACGTATGTTTATTGCGGCACTATTCACAATAGCAAAGACTTGGAACCAACCCAAATGTCCAACAATGACAGACTGGATTAAGAAAATGTGGCACATATACACCATGGAATACTATGCAGCCATAAAAAATGATGAGTTCATGTCCCTTGTAGGGACATGGATGAAATTGGAAATCTTCATTCTCAGTAAACTATTGCAAGGACAAAAAACCAAACACCGCATGTTCTCACTCATAGGTGGGAATTGAACAATGAGAACACATGGACACAGGAAGGGGAACATCACACTTTGGGGACTGTTGTGGGGTGGGGGGAGGGGGGAGGGATAGCATGAGGAGATATACCTAATGCTAAATGACGAGTTAATGGGTGCAGCACACCAGCATGGCACATGTATACATATATAACTAACCTGCACATTGTGCACATGTACCCTAAAACTTAAAGTATAATAATAATAAAATAAAATAAAAAAAACCTTCAAAAAAAAAAGAAACTTTGAGAACTTCCGATGGCGTTCTGTGTTTTAGATTTACAAATATAAATATCCATTATTTTGTCTTTTCTGCTCTGCTGTGTACTTCATGAGGCTTCTCAACTGAGAGCATGTATCTTTCTTTAGTTACAAAAAATTATGACTGTTATGTCTTCAGTTATTTCCTCCCCTCATTTTCTTATTTATTTTTCACTTTCTAGGATTTCTATCAGCTAGAAATGGATACTTCTACCTTTAGTCTCTGCATCTCTTTTTTGTTTTGTTTTGTTTTAACTAATCTTCTTATTTAAAGAACATGAAATTTTGCCAAATGCAGCTGAGATTTTTGCAAAAACAAAATTCCAGATACATGCCGAGGCTGAAGTGAATGTTTGTTGCTGCCCTTTTCTTAAAGGAACAATTTAAATTTATCCAAAAAGTCAGCCTTTCATCCCTTAATAAATTCAAAACACTATTTTTTTTTATGACCAAAGAATGGATACAACAATCTCTGGTCTTCATGCCATCCTCTATCCCATTCGTTGGTGTGGATTATCATGCTTATTAGTGTAAGGACATCGCATGTGCATATCAGCTATAAAATCTTTTTAAAAAGTCTCTGTATCTCTTAATTTCCATTTATAGAGTTAGGGTTAAGATTTGTACAAGCACATAAAAGCTTATCTCATTTTAAAAAATAGTTGTGTAACACAATATAAAAATAATTTATTGATAGGCATTTAGGTTTCCAATTTTTACCTCCACAAAAAAGAAATCATTTTACAATGTACAATTTGGTGCTCAGCTGGGAATATTTCTTTATAATTGTTTCTTAGAAGTATAACTGCTGAGTCATCAGAGATGCACAGTTTTATTTTGATAGACTGTCAACTTGTATTTCAGAATGGTTTCTCCAATTTATACTCACAGTAGGAGCATATGAAATTAGTATTCTTTGTAAACTTGCCAAGGCTTGATATTATTACTGTTTATAATTCTTGCCAATATTATAAAAAGTAATTCCTTTTAATTTGTATTTTTATTATTAAGTCAGGTTGAGCACCCTTATAAATATTTATTAGGCATTTGTGATTTTTCTTTGTGAATTGCCTGTTTATATCTTGTTCCTTATTTCTATTGAGTTGTTTTTTATATTGACTTTTAAGAACTCTGTAAACGTATACTGGATAGTAATCTTTGTCTGTTATATATGTTGCAAATTGTTCCCCAGAACTTTGCTGAATATTTTAACTTTAATTATGCTGTATTTTGTTTTAGGAAGGCTATTAGTCTGTATGAAATAAAATTTGTCAGTTTTTTCTTTTGGCTTTTGTGTTTTAATTAGAAAATCCCACCATTAATATTAACTTACGTTTTACTACTTTTGTAATACTAATTAGCATGGAATTTACATACTAATATTCTATTTTTCTTCAATGTGTAAATCCAGTTGCTCAAATATTATTTATTTCATTTCACTTTGCAATGCTGTCTTCATCACAAACCAAGTTAAAATATATACATGGATCTGTTTATGAATTTTTTATGAATTCTCTTTGTAATATATTTTAACTTCTGTTAATGAATCTTTTCTCATTACTTTTATTTTTAAAAATTTCATAGCTCTATTTTCCTTAGCATCCTTAGTTTATACTTTTAATTAACTTCAGAAATAGTTTTTGTTATCTTGTCATTGATTAAGATAGTATTTAAACATAGATTTATTTAATTGTTTTGCGATTGCTCATGATATATCTTTCCATTTTCTAGCTCTTTTTTAGGTCTCTTTGTAAACCTTAATAGTGTATTTTTGCTTCTCACTTTTTTTCTTAGTTTTTCCTTATATCTTTATTATTTTTGCATTTTAAAGTTTCCTAATTCTTCTTCGGAAAAGAAAATCCTTTTTCTTTTCAAATTTGTTAGCATGAAATTCTGTATGCTATACCCCTTATAATTTATAATTTTCTTGATGTATTATTTATTATTATGCTTGTTTCACTTATTCTTGATAATATTGATAATTGCTTTTAATTTTATTGTTATTGCTTCCAAGAATTAGCTCTTTACAGTAAACAATTCTATTTTTTCCTTAAATTAATCAACTTATTCCTAAATTTTGTGTTTAATTTTATTTTTCTTTGTTAAAATTTATTTTATCATAATTTTAGAACAGAATATAAATGTTAACTTATTTTAATTCTGTAGTTACGTAATTTTAAGTAATGGAAGCTATAAAATTTACTATTACATCTTTAATTTCCTCCCATATAATTAGATACCTGTTTTATTGTTATTATCCTTAAGATCCACTCATTTTCTTTAAATTATAAATATATAATTTACAATTTTAATAATATTTACGTTAAAACATACTAATTCATTCTTGCACTGCTATGCATAAATACCTGAGATTGGGTAATTTGTAAAGAGAAAAGGTTTAATTGGCTCACAGTTCCATAGACTGTACAGGAAGCATGATTCTGGCATCGGCTCGGCTTCCAGGGGGTACTCAGGAAACTTACCATCATGGTGGAAAGCGAAGGGGAAGCAAAGCACAGCTTCCATGACCAGAGCAGGAGCAAGAGGGAGAAGGGGAACGGAGAACTTGCTACATACTTTTAAACAACCAGATCTGGTGAGAATTCTTTCATGAGAACAGCACCAAAGCGGGAAATCTGCCCCCATGATCCAATCACCTCCTACCAGGCCCCAACTTCAGCATTGGGGATTACAACTCAGCATGAGATTAGGAGCTGGCCTCATGGCTCATGCCTGTAATCTCAGCATTTTGGGAGTCCGAGGAGGGTGGATCACTTGAGGTCAGGAGTTCGAGACCAGCCTGGCCAATATGGTGAAACCCTGACTCTACTAAAAATACAAAAATTAGCCAGGTGTGTTAGCGCACGCCTGTAATCCCAGTTACTCAGGAGGCTGAGGCAGGAGAATTGTTTGAACCCGGGAGGCAGTGGTTGTGGTGAGCTGAGATGAAGCAACTGCACTCCAGCCTGGGCCACAGAGTGAGACTCCATCTCAAAAACAAAAACAAGCAAACAAACCCCCCAACAAGCTCCATGAGATTAGGGTGGGGTCACAGATCCAAGCCATATCAAACATTGACTATTTAAATTAGCAAGCATTAGTTTATTCACCCATCGACTATTTGAAGGTCTACTATATAAAAATGTTAAAATATATAGTTATATGGCATTTATAATAAGTGAACATGTGGAAGGCAAAAAATTATATATAAATCATTATGATTTAAAGTTACATTTCTCTAATTACTAAAGGAGTTTAAAATTTTTCATGTATTTTAATGCCATTTTAATTAATTTTTGTAAAATATTTGTATTTATGGTTTTCTAATTTTCTACTAGGATGGAGTATTGATTACTAAAATTTTGCTAGATATTTAAGATTTTAATTTCCCAGGTTTATACATTGCAATTTTTTAAACAAACAATTTTTCCTTTTAGTGCAGCTATTTTATCATAGCATTTTAAATTAAACTATAATTTATATACAGTGAAATGCACAGATCTTAAGAATACTATATGATAAATTTTGACAAATGTATAAACCCATGGGCCCACATCCCAATCAGTGCATAGTTCAATTGCAGCACAGAAGAAAATCCTTTTCTATTACCTCCCAGGTGATCACCTTCTCCTGCTTCCTGCCAGTCTCCATTGCTCTGATTTCTATCACCACAGATTAGTTTTCCATGTTCTAAAAATGTATGTAAATAGAATCATACCAACCCTACTCTTTGGCATGTGACTCCATTCACGCAACATGTTATCTGTGAAATTTACCCATGTTGTTGAGTATATCAGTAGTTTGTTCCCTTTTATTACTGTATAGTATTGTATTTAATACATTTACCAAAATTGTTGAAAACCAGTGGTAAAAAAAAAAAATCTCATAAGCCCTCCTGGGAAATAAGATGCTCTGTAGAATTTAGATGAATGTAATATTTGTGATTAGTAAGATTTCACTGACTGTATACTTTAAATATAATTATAATAAAAGTATAAAATGTTAATCTTTCTCACTTTCATTCCTCTATCATTCATCTCTCACAAAACATCATTAAATTACCAAGAGAATATAATAACAGTGAAAAATATGTATCAATAATAAAAATTAGAAAAGAGTGTGTATTGTGTTTAAAAGACTTGAGTCTAAAGGCTGTAACAGAGGGAGAAACTGTATTGGGAAACCATATCATACCACAACTCACTGTATATAAAATATAGCCAAACTCAGAGAACATTGAAAGAACTACTACAATTACCTAATTTTGAAAGGCAAGAGCTAGATAAAAGTATGTTTTATAGAGAAGCAACCTTTTATCCTAATTAAGCCATCAAAATTTTCTAGATACTAGGATTTATGTAGGGCAGGGAACCTGCTGTAGATATTATTCTCATATTACATTTTTAAACTAAATTACAGAGATAGCTGAAGGTAGTTCCCAGAGCTGTCAAGCCAGTGAGAATAGTTATATGGAAATAATTGGGACTACTCCACAATTACAGAAGAGAAAATTTTCAGCAACAAAGAGAAAAATCCATGCTGTGATTGCATCCATGTATAATGTCCTTTTTCACTAATACTGTAAAGTAAAATTATAATAAATGTAAGTTTTTATGTTCTTGCCTTTATGATTTGAACTGGGACTCAATCACCCAATTTCTCAAAATTTATCTCAGCCCAATATTATTCAAATATTTGACCTCTCTCTCAAAGGTTAAGTAAACCAAAAAGTTTACCAATATATTGAAAACTGCACAATTTTAAATGAGATTAGTCTGAGGCAGTAAAATTCCCCCCTATAAAACAGACTTATGCTATAAGAAGTTAGAGAAGCCTTTTAAAAATCCATAATCTGCAAATGTATTATGATTTGAGAAAAACTAGAGTAGAAGTAATGAAATATCCAAGAAAAATATCTGGAGATTAAAAACATGATAGCTGGATTTTGAAAATGCAAAAAGCTGTATATTGGGTTATAAAAAATACTAGATAAATGAATTGGTATTTTTATTCTGTCAAATAAAACAGAAAAGAGTGAAATGATAAATAGAACAAAAAGATTTCATGAGAACAGAGTTGACTAAGTTTACACTGTTGATTCTCTGCTAAGCATGTGCTGCACTAAAGATAATGTTAAGATAATGTCTCAGTTTTTCATGATGTTAGTGATGAGAGGTACATAGAAACTTTCCAAAATGAAATGCACAAGAAAAAGAATGAATAAAAGGAGACTAGAACATTCAGGACTGTGAGACAACTTAAAAAGATATAACATGCCTGTAATTGGAATACCAGAAGAAGAAGAAAGAGAGAACATAGCAGAAGAAATATTTAAAGTAGCAATGTTTGGGACACTTCCAAAATTAATGACAGATACCAAAGCACAAATTCAAGAAGCTCATAGAATGTAAATATAATAACCCAAGCATACACCTATCTATATTATAGCTAAACTGCAGAAAACCAAGACTAAGAGATAATCTTGAAAATAGCCTGAGGAGATAAGGTGAGGAAATCCTACTACAGAGTGTAATAAGTATAAGAATTACAGCTGATTTCTTGTCAGAAACCATGCAGGCAAGAAGAGAGTGGAATAAAATATTTAAGATGTTGAAAGACATAACCCATCATCTAAAATTTTATATCCAGCAAATGTATCCTTCAATGTGAAGGGAAAAATTAAGATTTTTTTTTAAATAAACAATAAATCAGAGATTCATTGTCAGGATACCTGCTCTGCAAGAAAAATAAAATCTTTACCTTTTTAAAGTTCTTAATGGATCTAAAATTTATCTATTTAAAGTAATGACAGTAACATTGTATTGAATAATAACAGCATATGGTTAAGTTAAATAAATGACACCAATGTCACAGAAACAGAAAAGGGGAACTGAGAATACTCTTGTTAAGGTACCTGCATTACATATGAAGTGGTATAGTATTACATAAAGGTGGACTTAGATTAGTTAAAAATACCTACATTAGTTCAAAACACATGTTGTAAACTCTAAGGTAACCACTGAGAACTTTAAAAATAACTATAATTCTAAGGAAAGAAAATGACATTCTATAAAAAGCTCAGTTAAACCAGAGAAAGCTGAAAAATGAGGAGGAAACAAAGAATAAATTTCCCAAATAGAAAATAGTTACAAATATGAATCCAATTACATATGTAATCACTTTAAATATGAGTAGTCTAAATAAACCACTTGAAAGATATGGATTTTCAGAGTGAATTACAAAACAAGACCCAAACATATAGTGTGAAAGAAAGCTACTTTAAAAATAGAGTGAGACAGGTTAAATGCAGAGATGAAGATAGGCATACCACACTAATACTAATCACAAGAAAATAGATGTAACCTATATTAATTTGAGACTAAGCAGACTTCAGAGTAATGAAGATTATGAGGTTTGAAAAGGGTGTTCCCTAATAATAATAGGGATAATTCTCCCAGGATATATAGCGATCCTAAGTGTGTTTACACCTAATAACATGTGCTGGAACAATAGAAAGTCCAAAAATTGAACACAGACACAGACGTTAACCTTTTCACAAAAATTAACTCAAGCTGGATCATAAATCTAAATGTAAAATGCAAAACTATAAAGCTCTGAGAAGAAAACACAGGAGAAAATCTACATGACCTTGGGTTTGGTGATTTGATTTTTGATACAACACTCAAAGCACAATCCAAGAAAGGAAAAACTAATAAACTTTAGTAGATTAAAACTTTCTTCTCTTTGAAGGACACTGTTAAGTGAATGAAAAGGTAAGCCAAAGACTAAAAGAAAATATTTGCACAATACAAGTCTAATAAAAGACTTGTAACCGGGCATGGTGGCCCATGACTGTAATCCCAGTTACTCAGGAGACTGAGGCAGGAGAATTGCTTGAACCCTGGAGGTGGAAGCTGCAATTGTGCCACCGCACTCCAGCCTGGGCAACAGAGCAATACTTCATCTCAAAAAAAGGAATAAATAAATAAAATAAAACAAATAACTTGTTAGAATTCAATAATAACAAAATAAACAACCAATTAAAAATGGGCAAAAAATATGAACAGACATATCATCAAAGGAAATGGCAACAAGCATATGAAAAATTTGCTCAACATCATTTGTCATTAAGGAAACACAAATTAAAATAACAATGAGATAGTACTTAAAACCTATTAGGAAGATAAAAAAAATCCAGGAAACTGACAACACCTAATTCTGGCAAAGATGCTGAGCAACTTATTTATTGCTAGTGAATATACAAAATGGTACAGCTATTTTGTAAGACTGGCAGCTCTTTAGAAAGCTAAACATGGCCATATTATATGATCTAGCAATTGTGCTCCTAGATATTGACCCATCTTAGTTGAAAAAATTATGGACACAAAAAAACTTGCGCATGAATGGTTACAGCAGCCTTATTCATAAACCACCAAAATTGGAAGTAATCAAGATATCCTTCAATAAATGAATAAACAAACCTTGGTACATTCATACAATGGAATACTATTTGTTGATTAAAAAGAATGAGATATATAGCCATGTGAAGACATAGATGAATCTTGAGGGCATATGGCTAAGTGAAAGAAGCCAGTCTGAAAATGCTCCATATTTTATGATTCAAATTATATGACATTCTGAAAAAGACACAGCTAGAAGGATGGCGAACAGATCAATGGTTTCCAAAGTTTTTTGGGGAAGGGGAAAGGTTAAATAAAAAGAAGAGATTCTTTTAGGACAATGAAATTATTATGTGTGATGCTGCAATGGTAAATACATAACACTATGTATCTGTCAAACCCAAAACCTGAGACAAAGATTAAATATTATTTTATGCAAAAATCTTAGGAGAATAAAGGATCCCAGAATGGAATGCAGAATGTGACACCCCTCCAAAATCTGTCTGTGTTACCAATGTATGAGGCAATCTCACTGAAGAGCATGGGAGAAAAACCTGTTGACCTCAGTAACTTTGGAAGAGTGGAGTCTATACGACAAAAGACAACGTGGACTTTACATAAACATTATGCTGTGATGTAGGGATAATATTGCTTCCCAGGTGTATTGATGAACAATTCTGAAACCATCATACATATATACTGGAATTGAACAAGGCACTTAAGTAAATTGAATGGTGAATAGTGGGAGCCAGGTTTCTCTCAGAGGGATTTTGAGGTAATCAAGGAAAGGGGGCTAGAATGATCCATACAAATTAGAGTTGGAGACCTCAGTATGAACTCATGTTTGGCTTAATATAGATACAGATGGTTACATACAGGAATGATTATACTATGTGTGTATATATGGTTTAGTGTACATACATCTATGTCCTCGTTCTGTCAGTCGAGGGAACCCAAAAACAATGACACTAAAGTGGCAATGAGCATACCCAGATCTTGGTTTTGAATACCATTCTTGAATGAAAGAAGCCAGGCTTCCCTGGGAAGGAATGACTGATTCCAGCACAAGGCAGGAAATATTCAAGATGAGCCTGGAGCATCATGTAGTACCAGAAAGTAAAGAAGTACTTAAAAAAATCCAAAAAACGAACAAATAAAAAACCCATAATGATGCATGTTGCTCAAAATTGCCAAAGCTGGAGTAATTTGAGCAACAAAATAAAAGGACAGTATTAGATTATAACCCAAATTATGAAATAAATACCCATGAGTAAATAGGGACTTAAATAAATATTTGAATAAATAAATAAATGGAGATCATAGACAAATCTTCCAAGCAGAAAAATTTCAAGTAATTTATGTAGGTATTCTGCCTTCAAGAAATTGGAGAATAATTCCCCACTTTTTGAGTGTGAGCTGTGCATAGTGACTTCCAAAGAGCATAGTGTGAGGCAGTGGGGAATAAGTTTACACTGATAAAACTCCGACAAACTCCACCTCAGCTGTGTGACCAAAGTTAACAGAGACAAGACATGTTGATTTTATGTACCGTTATTATCATGGAATGGAAATAGCAAATTATCTCTGTGTTCTTCTTTCTCAAATTATATAATTCAAACCCAATCATGAGGAAAAAATTAGAAAAATTTCAATTGAGGGACATTTTACAAAAAATACCTAACCAATACTCCTCAAAACCATGAAAGTCATCAAAAATAAGGAAAGCCTGCAGAAAGTCGCAGTCAAGAGGAACCTAAGTGGACATGACAACTAAATATTATTAATATATTGTTTCCTGGATGAGATCCTGGAATAGAAGAAGGACATTAGGTAAAAACTAAGGACTATACATAAAATATGGACTTCAATGAACGATAATAATCAATATCAGTTCATTAATAGTGACAAATGCACCATAACAATGCATGATGCTACTAATAGTGGAAACTGGGTACGGGTGTATGGAAACTATTTGTACTACCTTCTCAATTTTTCTGTATATTTAAAGCTATTCTAAACTTAAAAAAGCTTATTTAGAACACATTTGTGGAAGTAAATTTTTTCCCCCAAGCAAAATGTTTTATTTGATCTGTAAATCTATCTTGTATGTCATTTATATAGTAGCCTAAAATAGGAAGACTACCAAGATGGACTCTTATTAATTTAGATGGTAACTGAATATGCCTAAGGGGAAAAGATCAATGGGAGAGAGAATGTCCTTGTGATATTACAGTGAGAAATCCTGCAGAAAACCACAAAATTCTTGGAAAGTTTCCCTGTGGAGAGAGTACAGAGAGCCACCTGAACCCAAACAACTGAGAATGAGGCCTCGATGTTTACCTTTTTTGTCAAGTATAAAAGTCATACTTGCCTGGAGCATCTTTAGTACCAGAAAGTCAGGAAGTGCTTAAAACTACTCATGTGATTACTCTCTTATTTATTTTGTTGTTCAAATTGTACCAGCTTTGGCCAAAGAAAATAAATCACTGCTTTATCATATGAAGTGACAGTTAGCATATAACATACACTGTCTCCAGACTCTATTTGATCTCTATCTCTTGGATATAGTCATTTAATCCAAAGTTGCTATTCAACTTAACTGAACCACAACCAAATTATATTTCTCTAGCTTTTCTTCAAGTATCTATAAAAGAGATTGCCTACACTCAAAAACTGCCCTACAAAGAGTTTATGACCAAAATTTCTCTGACCTGGAGTCAGAGAAATTTTGGTTTAAGAGAGTGTCAATCAAGAGAATGAGAGCATTACAGGCAGAGGGAAGAGTATGTGCAGAGGCCTTGTGTGGAAAATGCCACTGAAGGATGTCATATTAGAGAAAATTGAATAATCTGTTCAACAAAATTTACTGCATTTCTATTACAGGTTGAGAATTCCTAATCTGAAAATTTTAAATTTGAAATGCTCCAAAATCTGAAACTTTTTGAACGCCAACATGATGCGACAAATAGAAAATACCACACCTGATCTCATGTGATGGATCACAGTCAAAATGCAGTCAAAAATTTGTTTCATGCACAAAATTATTAAAAAATATTGGATTAAATTACCTTCAAGCTACGTGGACAAGGTGTATATGAAATATAAATGAATTCTTGTGTTTAGACTTGGGTCTGATCCCATGATATCTCATTATATATATGCAAATATTCCAAAATCTGAAAATTTTCTGGCCCCACATATCTTGGAGAAGGGATACCCAAACTGTATGCCAGGTTTTTGGATGCAAGGGAGATCTCTGTGGTTGGAGCATAGAAAGCAAAGGAGAGATGGAAAAATGCATTAGAATATATAACTTGCCATTAGTAAACTTACTATTTCCTAATAAAAACAGCTTCATTTTGTAAAGTTCATAAACTATACCGTTATAATCCGTTCTGAAAGTGTTATTTAGATAAGAACAGTCTTCAGGATTTTTCACTTTGTTCTCTGCTCTTTTGAATATTAGAAAGATATTAGATTCTCTCTAGGCTTTCACCAGCTCATCTCTACTCACTAAGATTTCTGAAAGATGAATGCCCATCACATATTCTTCAGCAAATTCATTTGCAAATTATTTTAACACTCCAGGGGTAACTCACCTGATCTAAGAAAATTGGCCTCATTTTGAGAGGTTACTGTGTCTCTTCAAATATCTTATGATCTGGCTTTCAACTCCTGGTTAGTCAGTCTATTGTACTCTATAATCATTCATCTTGTAGGATAACGCAAAATAGTTCAGTTTCATTTTCTTCTCATAATCCATTAATATTCCCTCAAGCTGCTCCTTCTTTGGTAGTTTTTTTGCTCCAAAAATGAGCAAAATTTTTTTAGTTGTCTTTAATATTTTTTTAAGTTTGAATGCATTATGAACCAGACTTCTTGAAAACATTCTTAGGTGTCATTATTTTATAATTGCCGCTGGCTTGTCTTTCTAAGTCAAGTGTATTACTTGATTTAAAAGCATTCTTTATGGCTATATTAGCCTTTTTTTCTTTTCCCTCTATGACCTGTCTCATCAAAATTCCTTCCATAATGATGTAAGCAGAACTATTTTTTGTGGAACATTCTGAAACACTTGCGGTCTTCCTTCTTAGGTTCCAACATCCTGAGTCCATTTTCACTTTGTTTTTAAACTAATAAAAACATTTTCTTCAAAGATTTAATGACTGTCTGAATGTGCTCAGGATTTTCTTTTGGTGCGATTTTAAATTCTAAAGAAGTATTATTTCCTGTCCCCATGGTTCTTATCACTTTTACTTTTCCAACCAATTTTTCCCTTTTGTTTGTTATTAAGTTCAGAGTAGCAATTTCCCCAGTTGCTTCCACTACCCTCCAAGAGGTAAAACTGTCAGTAGAAACAATGTAGTTATGAAGTGTTTTGACAGTATAGGGCACTCCTACCAGTTTAGTGGGCTGACAGCATTTTTTGGTAAGAAAATGGGAAGAAATATTATGGCAGCTAACTCAGCTATAATACAGCACCATAACTTATATGATCTTCAATTTTAAAAAGTTATGGAACAAAGCTGAGCTGTTCTTATACAAGGTTCTACATGATCCAGACTCTGTGCTCCTTTTGAATTTCAAATTATACTAATTGCTTGCTAACAACATCATAGTTTAGCCATGATCTGCTAATATAGCAAGCTTTTTTTTCTTTCTCAGGGTATTTTTTTATTTAGTTACCTATGCCTGGACACCATTTTCCCACCACTGTGCACAAGGGATTCTTTTTAATGTTTAAGTTTTATCTTGCAATTTACTTTTCTATAACAATTCACGGTTTATTCTCTTCATACCATTTATGATAATCTGAAGTTATATAGTTTCTTATCCATTTGCTTTTTATATTACACCAGTGACAAAGTAAGTGCTGAGAGGTAAGAAACTTGGGTGTCTTTTCATTACTGTATGCTCATGATTTGAAGCAGTACTTTGTGCATAGTAAGCCCTCAATAAATAATTGTTAAGTAGATAACACAAAGTATTCTAAAATAAGTTCTTTGCAAAAATGAGTTAAATAAAATTGTTCAGACACTGTTTCTGTTTGTCTTATGTCATTACTAAATTAAAACAGGCAAACCATACTTTTTTTGAGTAACCTTTAGCAAATGGTAACAGAGAAATGCTTTTAGAAATGGCAGCCAAAAAATGCAGATCATCTAGAATGTCTAGAAAAATGGACAAAATATAAACACAAAATTGCTTGAAAGCACATAGAGTCAACAGGTAGTGAGGAATTATGAAGTCAGATTCAGGGATAGATAAAAACTCAGAGAAGTAAGCCTGACACTTGGGGTAGTATTTCAAGAAGAGATACCTGTCAATTCTAGAAAAAAAGGCTTAGAAGGAAATAACAGAGCAAAACCTAGATAGACTTGTAGGACTATGGGAAAATATTGGTATCCAGAATTTATCAAGAAGGGATAGCACTAGTCAATTTCCCACCTTTGGATTGGAATTTGAAAGGTTACACCATAGAAATAAGATTGAAAAATAAGTAGAAAAACCCTTCAAAAAACGTTAGCCCAGATCAAGTCACCCTTATCTCTGTAAAAGGATCCAAGTGATCTATCATTACTAGCTCTCCTAGCTGCATAGATTTAAAAATATTTAACAATATATAGTTATTAAATAGATCAATAAAGAGTATCGTTAAAGGTCAAATTTTAATTTGCAAGATTAACTAAATTAGTCAAGCACTTACTTGTCCTGGATAATTGCTAAGTTAGAATAGCCAATTCCTATTTTTTTTTGAGCAACCCTTAATAAAAGATTATACAGCAGTAAAAGAAATGCTTGTGGAAGGTGCATCCTTTCTAGAGGGAATTAATGTCATCACATTTTCATAACATTTCATTTATAATTTCAATAAAAAATGAAGTAATTCGTGGAGGCAGTCAACATGATTAAAAACCAAGAGAAGAGAATATAGAAATAACCAGTAAGAAAAAGAGAAAATGAAGTAAACAGACACAGACTTTAAAATAACCATGGTGTGCCTGTTTAAGGAATTAAAAGAAAAAAATTGAAAAATTTTACAGAAAAAGTGAAACTATAAATAATAACAAAATGAAAGAGTGATACCAGGAAAACAGTGAAATAGGAGGTGCCTCACTCATATCCCACAACAGCAACAATATTTATCCATGGACAAAATTGCCTTTGTGGGAGCTTTGGCATCCAGGTAGGAGGTTGTGAAACCCAGATGGAGCCCAAGACTGAGTAGTGCCATTTTGAAAAGACACGTATGCTCCCATCTGGCAGGCTTACTGACCATGGTTCTGGCTATAAACCTAAAATCAGCTATGTACCTCTTTGGATTCAGCTACAACTTCATTTGGCCTTAGTTCTAACACCAGAACCATCTGCCAAGAAACACAGGAAAAGCCAAAAGCACCTGGGACTTCAGTTCAGGTTATGGACCCTGAAGTAGTGCATGATCCAACTCTAGCCCCTTCAAGCATGGTCCAGGAGCAGTCTTGCCTGTGGAATTATTTGGGAGACATGACTATCTGTGACCTCAGAGGTAGAACTGCTGGCACTGGTTTGACCATGGATTATGAAGCAGCTTTGTGTCTTGCCTCTGATCCCTCCCAGCTGCTATCTGGGAGCAGTCCTGTTCACCCAGGGACCCAGCAAGAGACATCTGGTAACAGTCCCACTGTCTAGAGATCCAATGGCAGACCATGAAATAGACTCTTGTCCCAACATCAGCCCTACTGACTAAGGTCCTGGAGGAAATTTTATCCACCCAGGTATCAGACAGGATTCATGTATGTCTACCTGAACTACTAATAACAGGCCTGGTAATCATGGATTCCCCTGTGGATCCAGCAGCAGCCATATGACCTGGCTCCAACACCACTCAACTGTGATCCTGGAGGCAGTCTCATAAATCTGAGGGACCTAACAATAGAAGATCTTTACCTGCCAAAACCAGTGTGTAAAGACTGAAGAGCTGTTTGTTTTTTCCTTCAAATACACAGACATCTATGCAAAGCTATGCAGATCATGAAGAATCAGGCAACATAACATCACCAAAAGAAACCAATACAGCCCTAGTAACCATCCCCCAAAGAAATGGAGATCTATGAATTACGTGCCAAAGAATTCAAAATAATCATCTTAAAGATGCTCAATGAGATGCAAGAGAACACAGAAAACTAAACATTATTAGAAAAAAATGAAGGAACAAAATAAGAAGTTTAATAAAGAAATAGAAACCATAAAAGCTAGAATCCTAGAGATAAAAAATACAATAATAGAACTGAAAACATTCAGTTAAGAACTTCAACAGCACACTCAATCATGCAGAAGGAAGATTCGGTTAACTAAAAGAGAGGTCACCTGAAGTTAACCAGTTAGGGAAAAAAAAATAAATGAAAAAGAGTGAAGAAAGCATACAGGAAACATGAAAAGCCTATAACAAACAAACATATACATTAAGTCCTAGAAGGAGGAGAGAGAGAAAATGCCAGAAAACTTATTTAAAGAAACAACAACTGAAAACTTTCTACATTTTAAAAGGAATATGGACATCTGGATTTATGAATCTGAAACATACCTAATGAAGATCAGTCCAAAAGAGAGTACTTTGCTGTGTATTGTAATAAAATTGTCAGGAGTCAAATACCAAAATAATTTCGAAAGCAGGAAGAGAAAAATGGCTTATCACATAAAAAGGTACCTGAAAAAGTTATGAGTAGATGTTTTTCAGCATAAACCTTGCAGACCAAGAAGAAGTAGGATAATATACTCAAAGCATTGAAAGAAAAAAAACCCTTACAGCCAGTAATACACCTGGCAAAACAATCCTTCAGAAATGGATACATAAAGACATTCCCAGACAAACAAAAGCCAAGGGAGTTCATCACGACTAGACATGCCTTATAAAAAATGCTAGAGGGTACTATACAAGTTAAAACAAAAGAATATTAAGTAACAACATGAAAACCTGTTGTTTAACAACATGTACAGGTATAAAGCTTATAAATAAAGCTAAATATATATTCAAGTTCAGAATACTGTAATAGTGTAATGGTGATGCAGAAATCACCTTTAACTCCAGTGTAAGAGTAAAAATACAAAAGGATTAAAAATAACTATAGCTACATTAATTTATTAATAGATACACAATATAAAAAGGTATAAAGTGTGACACCAATAGCGTAAAATGTGTGTGAGAAGAGAAACAAAAGTATGAAGTTTTGTATGTGATTGAACTTAAGTTGTTATCAGCTAAAATAGACTGCTATTACAGTAAATATTTTATATAGTCCTCCTGGTAATCAGAAAGAAAAAACCTCTGGTAGATACTCAAAACAGAGAAATGAATCAAAGTGTACCACTAAAACCATAAAGAAGTCACCAAATAAGATCACACAAGAGAAATATCGGAACAAAGAAACCGCAAAATGGTCAGAAAACAAAATGTCAGCAGTAAGTGTTTTAAATAATGACTTTAAATGTAAATAGATTAAAGTATCTGATCAAAAGGCACAGGATAGCTGAACATATTTTTAAAAAGTTGAACAATGTGCCTCCTACAAGATATTCAATTTAGCTTTCAGGACATTTATAGGCTGAAAGTTAAAAGACAGAAAAAACACTTCCTGCAAGAGGTAACTAAAAAAGAGCAAGGTGGCTATACTTATACTAGAAAAAATAGGAATTCAGTCAAAATCTGTCACAAAAAACAAAAATGTCATTATATAATGATAAAGTGGTGATTCAGGAAGAGGATAAACTTTCATATATATATTTACATATTCAGATGCTACAATGTTGGGTGCATATATATACATATATAAATATATGTAAATATATATATATACATATATAAATATATGTATATATATATATACATATATAAATATATGTATATATATATATATATGCACCCAACATTGTAGCATCTGAATATGTAACTATATATTTATTTTGTACATCTGAATATGTAAATATATATATATATATGCACCCAACATTGTAGCATCTGAATATGTAAATAGGTATATATGCACCCAACATTGTAGCACCTAAATATGTAAAGAAAATATTAACAGGCTTAAAGGGAAAAACAGGTAGCAATGTAAAAATAGTGGAGGACTTCAATACCCCACTTTCAACATCCAATGTAAAAAATAGTGGAAGACTTCAACACCCCACTTTCAACATCCAAACAGAAAATCAATAAAGAAACAGTAGACTTGAATAGCAATATTGATCAAAATGTCCTGGCAGACATATACAGAACATTCCATCCAAAAGTAGCAGAATACAGGTTCTTCTCAGGCACACACAGAATATTGTCAAGGATAGATCATATGTTATGCTATAAAAAAAGTCTTAAGTTTAAGAAGACTGAAATCATGTTAAACTTCTATTCTGACCACAAGGGTGTGAAACTAGAAATTGATAATAGGAGAAAAATTGGAGCATCCATAAATATGTGGAAATTAAACAACACACTCTTGAACACCAAATGGATAAAAGAAAAAAATCAAATGGGAAAAAAAATCTTGATATAAAGGAAAGCAAAAGCATAACATACCAGAACTTATGAGATGCAGCAAAAGCAATTCTAAGAGGGAAGTTTATAGCAATAAAAGCCTACATTAAGAAAAAAGAAAGACTTCAAACAACGCAAATTTACACCTCAAGGAACTTTAAAAAGAAGAAAAAATTGAGCCCAAAGTTAGCAGAATTAAGGAAATAATAATGAGTAGAACCAAAAGAGAAGAAATAGAGACTAGAAAGACAATTGAAAAGATTAATAAAACTAAGTCTCGAATTTTTTAAAAGAAGTAAAATGGATAAAACTTTAGCTAGACACACCACATTAAGAGCATGAAGAATAAAAACATATGTTTATTAAAATGGATGCAGAAAAAGGATTTGACAAAATTCAACCTTCTTTCATGATAAAAATTGCCAACAAATTAGGTATAGGAGGTATGTACCTCAACTTATAAATGTCGTATATGATAAGCCCACAGCTAACATCTCACTCAGTGGTGAAAAGCTTTTTCAAAGATCAGGAACAAGACAAAGGTGACCAGTTTGCAGATGAAATAATCTTATATAGAAAACACTAAAGCTGAGCCAAAAAGCTATTAGAACTTACGAATGAGTTTTTTAAGGTTATAGGATACACAGTCAATATACAAAAATCAGTTGCATTTCTGTAAATGAACAACTATCTGAAAAACAATTCAGCCACCTGATTTTTGACAAAGGCACCAAGTACACACAATGGAGGAAACAATAGTCTTTTAGAAAAGGCTTTTCAACCCAAAGAAGAATGAATAATAAATAAAAAAGACTCACCTAGGCCCAACAAGGTAAAACTGCTAAAGTACATCAATAGAAAGTTTTTAAGCAGAAGGAAAATAGATCTAGAATGACCCCAAGTTTCTCATTAGAAATTAGAAGTGAGATGATATTTTCAAAGTAAGGAAAGGATATGTATCAACTAGAATTCTATGTTCAATAAAATAGTCTTCTAAAATGATAATTAAACAAAAACATTTGGCCGGTTTTGGTGGCTTACGCCTGTAATCCCAGCACTTTAGGAGGCCGAGACGGGTGGATCACGAGGTCAGGAGATCGAGACAATCCTGGCTAACACGGTGAAACCCCGTGTCTACTAAAAATACACACACACACACACAAAAAATTAGCCGGGCGTGGTGGTGGACACCTGTAGTCCCAGCTACTCAGGAGGCTGAGGCAGAAGAATGGCATGAACCCAGGAGGCGGAGCTTGCAGTGAGCAGAGATCACGCCACTGCACTCCAGCCTGGGGGACAGGGAGACTCCATCTCAGAAAAAAAAAAAAATGTACAGAAAAATCAAAATTATGAAATTTGTCTTCAGCAGCTTGTTCTGAAGAAAACAGTAAAGATCATTCCTTAAGAAGACGGAAAATGTCCTAAAACGGCAGCTTTAAGGTTCAGGAATGAATTAAAAGTAATGGACGGGAGAAATATGTAGACAAATATAAATGAGTGGTGACTGGATAGGATAATAATAATATTTTGTAGAGCTTATATATTTATTATACATATATGCTATATATCTATATCTATATATGTAATACTTGACAACATTATTTACATTTAGATGAAGAAATTTAAAATATTCCAAAATGCTTGCATGTTCTAAGAAGAGGTTAAATGTGTTAAATTTTTGCCAGCATAGTAAATAAAAAGGTGAATGAAATGTATAAAAATTGGATGTCACAAACCTAAAAAATTTTTTTCTTAAGAAAAAGACGAAAGGTATTTTTAATCCCTAACAATTAAAAGAAAATACTCTTAACAAATAAAATTGGTGTATGTAGTTTTTGAACCATGAATTACTTTTGACACTTCAAAGTTATACACATTACTGGAAAACCAAATGTATGTATAACAATTAATTTTCTTTATTTCCTTCTTTCTTCCCTCCCTCCCTTCCCCCTCCCTCCCTCTGTCCCTCCCTCCCTCCATCCTTCCTTCCTTCCTTCCCTTCTTTCTTTTGAGAATAGATTTATATAAAATTATTTTGTAAATACTCTTACAGTTCTGATAAAGCTAGTTTGTTTATTGATGTTTTCTAAATAATACCTTACCAAATGTGTGTGAATCAAGAAACAGCTATTCAAGAACAGACTGAATAACTTGTGTATTTGTTGAAGTTATTCCTTTCCATTAAGTTTATTAAACATGAAGGGCTTTACTTTAGCAGTTAATTTATCTAAAGGCTTCAATTTATCCTCTCTGAAGAACAATACTTGTAGGATGACAAAGTCCTTTTTTTTTTTTTTTTTTCCTATTTGTTTCCTCCTTTAGGGAACCAATAATGACAAGTGATTTCAACACTTACGAAGGAGGTCAAACACATTTTACATTTGAACATGACACACTTCTCAGCATTCTCTTATGTATGTAATTTCATTTCATTTATTTTAAAAGAAATTCTGAAAAGTAGGCAAAGTTAGTCTTCTTAAAATTATTTTTAAAAATTCAACATACTAACGACCACCAAAGCTAAATGACATGTCCAGTGAATAAAGACTTTTTTTTTTTTTTTTTTGGCCACGATTAAACACTAGTAAGACCAAGGCTAGAATTCACTTGTTTAAACTTCTCGTTCAGTATTCCTTCAAGGCAATAAAGCCATCTAATTTTTTAGGCAATTGTTGTACACAGCTGGAAAAAACAGACTTATTAGGGTGTTATATAATCTTACTACTCACTAAGAAGTGAAAAAGATGGGATTAAAACAAGTATAAATTGGTCAATAACACGTTTTAATCACTAGGCTAAATTTTCTCTAATACTTTAAAAATTGTTTTTCTTTTCCACCTGCTGTTTGCTTCTTTTTACCACTAGCTTCTTTTGGATTAATCAAGTATTTCTGTTTTATTTTCCCATTTTCTTTCTATTAAATTTTAGTTAAAAATCGATTTACTGTACTATTTTTTATTGTTCATCTTGGATATTACAATATTATATGCATGTTTAACTTATTTAAGCAGTATAATATAATTAGCACTTTTTGCCATATGTCAGACAACCAAAAGACATTAGAACACATAAAATTCTATATATCCCCAGGTTGTGTGGTATTTTCATTATATTTTAAATTCTGAATGCATTTTAGGCAGTACCTATTATTATAAAATCAGTGTTCATTTGGATTTAGCACTTACTGATCATTCCCATTGCTCTTCATTCATTTCCCTTTTTTCCTTGCTTTCATCTGTGATTTATTTATGACTGAACAACTTCCTTTATTATTATTTATTAGGCAAATCTGTTGTTGAAAAATTTTCTCAAGCATGTATGTGAAAATATTTTGTTTCTTCTTCATTTTTGAAGAATATTTCTTTTGTGCATAGAATTCTAGCTTGATAGTTATCTTCTTTCAATAAGTGGAAGGCAATATTTTATTCTTCTGCTTTATAATTCAGCTGTTTGTCTTAGCATGACTCATTCGAAGGGAATATGTCTTTTTGGCTAAGTTTAAATATTTTCTTTGCCTCTGCTCTTTAGAAGTTTTACTCTGGTGTGCCTATTATTTTACTAAACTGGCTTGGAAAATGGGAGTATTTCTTGAACCTGTGACTTAGTGACTTTTTAGTTTTGGAATACTGTCAACCATTATCTATTCAATTATTATTTATGCCCAACTATTTGTCTCCTTTTCCTCAGAGTTTTTACACTCATATTAGACCTCTTACAGTGTCCTAAGTATCTCCTGAATTGTTTTCTTCATATTTCCTTCCTTTTCCTTATATGTGTTTCAGTCCTGATATTTCTACTTATTGATTGATCTTCTACTTCACTAATCATTTCATCATTTGTGTCTAATGTCCTGTTAAACTCATGTAATAATTTCTTAATTTCAGCAACTTTTTTTATTTCTAGAATATTCCATGTTGCAATAACTAATAAAATAATTAAGTAGGACAAAGATTATCAATGAATGCTAAAACAAATGAAATGCTGCAAAAATCATGTTCATGTGGTTTTTTAAAGAATCATATCATAGATTACTTACTAATTACAATGGTCAAAATGTACCCATACATGAAAAGATTTGGCAGTCACTTGATTACCAAGTGACCAACTTAAAAGCATCAATAGTAATATATCTGGATATCGTTAAGTCCTCAAGTGTGATGCAATAAAAAAGCACATTATCATTTATGTAGTATTCTTTCCAAAAATGTTTAATTGAATCTAAAAATGAAGGAACAATCAGGCAAATTCAGAATGTGGGACACCCTGCAAGACAAAGGGCCTCACTTCTTCAAAAGCATCATAAGAAACAAATGGTAAAAAGTTCCGAATGAGAACGTATTAAAGAGACGTAACGAACACATGCAAATGTGTGAGCATTGATTAGTTCTTGGATTGGGGAAAATAACAGCTCTAAAAGACATGTTGGGGAAAATTTCAAAATTCAATATGAAATATTTATTAGATATTATTGAGTTATTGTCAATTTTCTTAGGTGTTATGGATATTTGGGAGAATGTCTTAATTCATATGAAATATGCACTGAAATATTCAGAGGTGAAGTGTCAAGTTATTTATAACTTATTTTCAATTGACTAGGCAAAATATAAACACGTTTGTGTGTGTATATATATATAACATATGTACATATAAGTGTAATTATGCATATTTAAATATACTTTATATATTAAGCTCACCAATAATAAACTAAATACAATGTGACAAAACAATAATATAGCATTTTTCTTCTATCTATATAGAGTATAAATTATACTTCTCACACATTTCTTACACATTTTACACTAAGTTAGAAATATGAAATATATTCTAGATAACTTTTCTTAAAATACTGAAAAATAAATATTTGAAATACAAAGGGATAATGCCACATATCTTAAAATCCAGGACATTTCTCAGCTATTCCATATATTAGAAATGAAATCCCAATTATATTACATGTTAATAGGTAGCTGCTACCTTTTTTCTTGAAGTAAAATGTCCAATCTTGTAGAGTCTCATATCTCTTTCAGAGCAGGGTAGCATATGTGTAGTAGATATGTTATGATATCATTCAGCAAATTATATTTCCAGTTGCCTTTTATGGCCAGAGTTCCTTCATTCAGTTTTCGCTGAAAATATTTTTGTTCCAATAAAGTAATTTTATCTCCACTGGAAGAGATTCAAGTTTTTTATTTTGCTAGTCTGAGAATAGGGCTTCCAGGTACACTTTCTTAATGGGTTTTGCAAGTTTCCTTCCTCACCTATGCTTTTATAGTTAAGTAATGGTACAAATATATTCCTGTATTGCTTTTTTCACTGTGTAATCGATTCTAGTATGATTCCCATGAGTTAGAGTCTATGAAAACATCTTCCATACTAAAAAAAAAAAAATGCATGTTAAATTAACTAGCTGCTTCTAACTCTTGGTGGAAGTGGTGAAACTTGATGTTTGATGATATTCCCTTGTGATTTAGAGTGCACATTTTTAAGACTGAGACAAGGCTACAAGCAAATTTGTAGTCTCTTCTATTGCCCAGAGGAAGAGTTCATCCCAGACAATCTAAGAATTGCTATCTAATAATATTCTTAGCATCTGCTATGACAAAACAACACATTTCACCCTCTTGTAACAATTGAGCTCAGAACTTTCTAAGTCTAACATAAATTCCTAAACTGGCATTTCATTTGGCGTTCTAATGCTCAGTGAGAAATAGAGTTTACAAGATATTTTTGAATGAATACAAAGCATACGTATTTGTTTTATGGTGGACATTTTCTCCACCTGCTATATACTACCGCTGTTGCTCTGGGTATGGGAGTAAAACATAACGAGAAGGCTGGGGGCGGTGGCTTGCGCCTGTAATCCCAGCACTTAGGGAGGCCAAGGCAGGTGGATCACCTGAGGTCAGGAGTTTGAGACCAGCCTGGCCAACATGGTGAAACCCCGTTTCTACTAAAAATATAAAAATTAGCCGGGGGTGATGGTTCATGCCTGTAGTCTCAGCTACTCAAGAGGCTGAGGCAGGAAAATCGCTTGAACCTGGGAGGCAGAAGTTGCAGTGAGCAGAGATTGCAGCACTGCAGTTCAGCCTGGGCGGCAGAGTGAGATTCTGTCTCAAAAAAAACAAAACAAAACAAAACAAAAAAAACAAAACAAAAACAAAACAAAAAACAAAATCATAATGAGAAGACAATTTATGTGTGATTGATACATCTGATGGGAAGAGGGTTGAGGAGTTTTTGGGTTGGTGACGCTACCTTCTAGTCCCAACTGTTTTTAGCCTGGATCCTAATTTGTTTGTTTCTTCACTTTGTAACTACACATTCTCCCAACCTCTAGGTAATGGAGAAGAAGAAAAGAGGCATATGATTAAATTGTGAATAACTTTGCATATCATAAGACCACAAAGATTCAAGGAGGAAAATAATATATCAGGAAAATAACAAAGTCATAAATATTTGTAGTTTCATGCCATCTGTAAAAGAGGTTCTCATTTTCCTATTGACCTCTCACTAAACACATTTTATTACCAGAAGTGACATTTCTCTCAGTTTGCAGGTGGCTGATTCAGAAGGTGGCTCTGTCAGGACAGCCACTACATGACATTAAGTCTCAGTTGAGACTTGCATCATGTAAAGGGCAATCCAGGAAACGATCCATCAGAAAAGAAATCCAGGCAGAGGAAACAACTAATGAAATGGTCCCAAAGCAAGAACCTTAAGGAATAGAACCTTAAGAAATATAAATTAAACTACTAGTACTAAAAGTTAAGCTTATGTTTGCAATATCATAGGAATCCTTATAGTTTCCACCATGCTTTATTGGATCTATTGCTTTTGAAGTCCTGGGATTCCATGTAAAGCATCTGATTGCCTGGGCTGCCATACTGGAGAAAGAATGTGGACACATTCCACGGAAAAACCCTAAGATCATGTATCAGACAGATTCGCAGTTAGGCCCAGCTGATTCAGCCCACAGCCATTTTGTCATCCTATCTATATTAATCCCTTCTAGTGCTGCTATAAAGATGGGTAATTTATAAAGGAAAAAGGTTTAATTGACTCAAAGTTCTGCATAGCTGGGGAGGCCTCAGGAAATCTACAATCATGGCAGAAGGGGAAGCAGACATGTCCTTCTGCACATGGCAGCAGGAGAGAGAAGTGCTGAGCAAAGGGGGAAAAAGCCCCTTAGAAAACCATCAGATTTCATGAGAACTCACTCATTATCAAAAGAACAGCTTGGGGAAACAGACCCCATGATCTAATTACCTCCCACGAGATCCCTCCCCCAACATATGGGGATTACAATTCAGATTACAATTAAAGATGAGATTTGGGGTGGGGACACAGCCATACCATATCACCATCTGAGGTCACAGATATCATGGGTCATCTTCACCATACTCTGCTTAAGTTCCTGACTATAGAACCATTAGAGACTATAACAATATGGTTCTTGTTTCAAGCTTCAGAACTTTATAGTAGCTTGTTATGCAGCTATAATCAGAAGAGAATTTGGATATAGGAAAGTGTGATGTTGCTGTAATAAAAACTGAAAGCATTTGCCATTGACTTTGGGACTTCATGCTAGACCAAAGCTGAAAGGACATCAAGGAGCCTGTTAGTTGAAGCTGGAAAGACCTTAGGCTTGAAGAAGAATGAGAAAAATGCTATTAGGGATTGAAAAAAAAGGAACCCTTGCTATGCAGTGGCAGAAAGTTTGACAATATTGCTGCCTACAGTAATGTGAAAAATAGAAAGAGAATCTAATAAACTCATGGATCTGCCAGGGGAACTTTTCAGGCAGAACGTAGAAAGTGACACTGGTGTCTCTTTGCTGCTTGTGATAAAATATAAGAAGAGATGCACCAAAGAAGAAATTGCTAGGCTTTTGAGCAGAATTTAGAGAAATTGTATGAGCCAGAACCTGCTGAATTTAGAAATAAAACTAATTCTTTTTTCAATCTTTCCTAGTAAGAATATCAAAGTAAAGAATATCAAATAGGGCTGTAAGATTATTTGCTAAAATCCCAGAAAAGTAGAAGTTAGTGTCTTACAGACATTTTCAGTTAGACAAAAGCCATCTAAAAAATTAATGAAGGGTCCTTCCCTTGGCGCTGGGCTACCATGGGGCCCTGCTTCTCAGGCTACTCCCACATCCCTGGTCCTGGAGAGGAGGCTGCCTGGTAATGGCTATTTGCCTGTCATTCCTGACTCAACACTTTCCCCAGTTGTATCATTCCTGCCCTCTCCTCAGCTGCAGTTGAAGGCTTTAACTTTGCACATCTTGGGATCACAGTTGCATCATTGTGTATTAAATAATTGGAGTCAATTAAACAAAAGAATTAAAGGATGCACCTCAAGACCTCAAGTTAAAACAATAAAACTCCTAAGACTTATTAAGATTTTTTTTTTTTTTTTTTTTTTTTTTAATCACAGCATCCTCATGAATGGACACAAGGTTTAGACAGACTTTATAAAAATATTTATGAATGTGTCTTTTGTTTAATGAAGTGGATTACAATTTGATACACAAAGATTTAAGGGAATTATTCAGCTTAGATTAAAAGGAGCAGGGAAAGGACAAACTGAGGAGGCTTTTGGACTCCAGCTTCAGGTAAGAAGGAGGCTGAGAAGATTTCTTATATTTCTTATATTTAGAAAGTTTTTTTCTCTTTTTAAAAAATAGTGATGGCTAATATTAGAGCAGACTATTAACTGAAAAATAATGTCATCAAATTAATAAAAAAATTAGGGCTTTTTTCTCATAAACTTAAATATTTATTATTTCTTTTGTTGATCCATAAATCTCTAAATATTTGTTAAAAACATTTTAACTTTGTAAGTTTATTATATATCGTGGGCTTTTTAATTATCTAAAGAAATAATTTGGAATACTGAAGAGAATGAAGCAGAGCTGACAGTAGAAACATTACATTGTGAATGAATAAAATTGAAGGAAGAATCAATATCGTGAAAATGGCCATACTGCCCAAGGTAATTTATAGATTCAATGCCATCCCCATCAAGCTACCAATGACTCTCTTCACAGAATTGGAAAAAACTACTTTAAAGTTCACATGGAACCAAAAAAGAGTCTGCATTGCCAAGACAATCCTAAGCCTAAAGAACAAAGCTGGAGGCATCAAGCTACCTGACTTCAAACTATACTACAAGGCTACAGTAACCAAAACAGCATGGTACTGGTACCAAAACGGAGATATAGACCAATGAAACAGAGCAGAGGCCTCAGAAATAACACCACACATCTACAACCATCTGATCTTTGACAAACCTGACAAAAACAAGAAATGGGGAAAGGATTCTCTATTTGATAAATGGTGCTGGGAAAACTGGCTAGCCATATGTAGAAACCTGAAACTGGATCCCTTCCTTACATCTTAAACAAAAATTGATTCAAGATGGATTAAAGACTTAAATGTTAGACCTAAAACCATAAAAACCCTAGAAGAAAACCTAGGCAATACCATTCAGGACATAGGCATGGGCAAAGAATTCATAACTAAAACACCAAAAGCAATGGCAACAGAAGCCAAAACAGACAAATGGGATCTAATTAAACTATAGAGCTTCTCCACAGCAAAAAAAACTACCATTAGAGTGAACAGGCAACCTACAGAATGGAAAAAATTTTTGCAATCTACCCATCTGGCAAAGGGCTAATATCCAGAATCTACCAAGAACTTAAACAAATTTACAAAAACAAACAAACAAACAAACAACAAACAACAACAACAAAAACCCATCAGCAAAGGATATGAACAGACACTTCTCAAAGGGACATTTATGCAGCCAACACACACATGAAAAAATGCTCATCATCTCTGGTCATCAGAGAAATGCAAATGAAAACCACAATGCGATACCATCTCATACCAGTTAGAATGGCAATCATTAACAAGTCAGGAAACAACAGATGCTGGAGAGGATGTGGAGAAATAGGAATGCTTTTACACTGTTGGTGGGAGTGTAAACTAGTTCAACCATTGTGGACAGTGTGGCAATTCCTCAAGGATTTAGAACTAGAAATACCATTTGACCCAGTGATCCTATTACTGGGTATATACCCAAAGGATTATAAATCATGCTGCTATAAAGACACATGCACATGTATGTTTATTGTGGCACTATTCACAAAAGCAAAGACTTGGAACCAACCCAAATGTCCACCAATGATAGACTGGATAAGAAAATGTGGCACATGTACACCATGGAATACTATGCAGCCATAAAGAAGGATGAGTTCATGTCCTTTGAAGGGACATGGATGCAGCTGGAAACCATCATTCTCAGCAGACTATCACAAGGACAGAAAACCAAACACTGCATGTTGTCACTCATAGGTGGGAAATGAATAATGAGAACACTTGGACACAGGGCGGGGAACATCACACCCTGTCATGGGGTGGGGGGCAGGGGAAGGGATAGCATTAGGAGAAATACCTAATGTAAATGACAAGTTAATGGATGCAGCAAACCAACATGGCACATGTATACCTATGTAACAAACCTGCACATTATGCACATGTACCCTAGAACTTAAAGTATAATGAAAAAAAGAAACATCAGAAATCTAGTAGAATAAGAATCCAATATCTAAAATTCTTAGTTGTAGGGACTCAAACTTATACAGAACAATTTCCTCCACATCACCTACAACAGTCAACAAAACAACACAAATATTCAAGAAGACAAACTTTGTAGGCAAAACATCTGGATTCCAGTCTTATTTCCTCCGATTACTGGACAATTCAAGTAATCTTTCTATGTCTACTTTTCAGTAACCTTTTTATACCTACATGTTCTTATCTATATAATGGAAATAATCATAGTTCATATATATAGCATTATGAGAGTTAATGGAAGAATAGATGTAAATCATTTAGCACAGGACCTGGAAGATGGCAGGTATACATTAATGATAACTATGATCTTCACTTGCAAAATAATCAACATTGCAGTTATTTCATCATCATCATTATCATCTTCATTATCAAAATCACTGATCATTGCAAATCAGGCACTAAACTGGACATTGGGTATATAATTGTGGCAAAGACACACTTGATTCCAGCAGTTACAATCTAGCATGTGAGACAAACAGTTACATAAGTAATTGCAATTCCGGCTTCTGGTTGTCTCGATAGGAGCAATAAAGGGTGCTAGAGCATATGCACAATATCCAGTCCACGGAGTACAACTTATTTTAGAACATCAAGGAAGCCTTGGAGGTAAAGATATTTAAACTGAGATTTGAAAGATGCGTAGAAGGGAAACTCACTTCCTCAAGCCTTTTTATAAGAGCCCTAATCCCATCCATGAGGGCTCCACACTTATGACTTAATCACCTCTTTAATGTACCACCTCTTAACACTATCATACTGATGATTACCTTATATGAAATTTTGGGACACATTCATACCATAGCACCAACTAAAAATGCTCTTAAATTTATTTAACTCAATGTCCAAATGTAATTACGGCAATAATAAGATTTAGATCATTTAGAGAATATTGGACTTTTTAAAGTTATATATCTAAATATAGTGTTGAAATGGATTTTTTTTCCAGCAGAAATTTGAAGTGTATTTTATATCTCTTGGAAACAATTCACTGTGTATTTTGGTGCATGGCTTAACATTTTCTTTGAGGGGTTCTTTTGTCATGCTAATCCATATTGGAGTTTTATACTATTTTTCATGTCTGTTCCTCAAGTTGCATGATATTTTATACTATCTTATTGTTTGATTTATTTACAAAGTAAATACAAATAAAATTTAAAATAAGTTTCCATGGCATGGCTAAAGGAAAAGAATTTCCATGTTTGCCTCAGTCTGGTCCTCTTTAGAACTGCTCCTTTGCCCTCATGTTATTTTTACCTCCCTTGATTCTGTTTGAAAACTGCATGTAGTAGCTTTTCAGAAGCCTGCTTTTCTACTTGTCTAGGTATCTTTCTAAATAATGAAACTAAACTGGTGTGCTTAGACAAGCTTCAGTCTTATTGCAAGTCCCTTTCAGCATCCTCATTCCTTGAGCTTTTACTTTTATTTCCTGAGGAAATCAACCGATCATTCTCAACATTTTTTTCAGAAAAATATTTGTGACATATGTTTTCCATTCTTCTCCTTTTGTACTAAACAAATTCAAACTCATTTTTTTCTTAAAAAATTCATTTTACTTGCCTATTTTGATTACTGGTTTTATCCTATGCTATTTATTAAGCAGAGGAAAGAGCTCTAAGATATTTTGGTGGTGGGTTTTCAATTTCCTAAACAATTGGGATACATTAAATTTGGTATTTATTTTTTGTCATGTCGATTATCTTCTATTTTCTATGCAAATCGTGGTTCTGCATATATTCAAATCACAGCTCTGCTGTTTACTCTTTGACCAGGATACAGGCATTAGAATTAAACACCTGTGGGTTTGAACACTACCAGCTGTCTCTTATTAGCTATGTGAACTTGGGCAAGTTTTTCTACAATTTCAGCGTCAGCTTCCTCTTTGGAAAACACCAGTAAAAATGATAGGTTGATGATAAAATGGGTTAAATCCAAAGCTCTTGGCATTTTATTTTGCACTTAAGTACTTAAGTTTTAACTGCTGCAATTACAGTAATACTGTTCTCTTCATTAATCTGACAATCCTTTGCCAAATATAAAAAAATGATATTTCAGTATTTTCTTGGTAGACCTATTATAATAAATAATGAAATAATACATACAGATACAGTGCCTGGAATTACAGTTTTTCCTTAATAAATGTTAGTTCTCTTTTTGCCTCACTCCTCCCTAACATTTTCTGCAGATGGTATGTTCAGGTAATGTCTTCTCATATTTTATAAATATTTGCTTTAATGCAACTTCCTATAGACAGTGTTTCATAAAATATATGATACTTTTTAAAAACAGACTTACAATTTTTTGCACCAAACCACTGAATCAAAATCTCAGGGTGAAGATTTTTGCATTTTAAAAACCTTCTCAGGGGATGTGATGTGATGTATTTCCAAGCATAGAACTTTCCTATGGCTGAGAGGTCATCAGAAAATATAGATAGAGCAGATCTACAGAGTTTACAATGTGATAGAGTAAGCCATACACTTACTCTATAAATAATGAAATAATTAGCAGTAGAAGGAGGTAAAGTACTAAAAGTACAGGTTATACAATTATTCAGATATTCAAGTGTCATAGTTATCATCCATGATCTGTAGAGGAACAAGAAGAACAAGAAACTAGAGTATGCTTTATTGATATCTGCCAATGATTTAACCCTTAGTGTTAGGACAATCCCCCCAGGAAAATCTGCTCATTTTGCCCCCTTTGTAAATTACAATGACCTCAGATAGTGTGATATGAATAATGAGCTGCTCTATTTTCTAAAGTCTGTCTGTCTGTCTCTCTTTCTCTGCATCCATCCACCTACTATCTATCTATCTATCTATCTATCTATCTATCTATCTATCTATCTATCTATCCGTCTATCTATCCATCCTGTCTATCATCTATTTATCTCTATTTTTCATTTATCTTTATCTATTTAAATGAATGACTGGTGAAGAAGGCTATGACCAAGAATTGTTTTTCAAAGCAAGGCTACTTTCAACTCTTACTTTTAATGCTTACCAATCAACATCATCTTATATTTAGAGAAATTTGTTTTTCTCTTTCTTTAATCTAAAATGCCTTTTTGCAGCACTCTTACATATCAATTTTATAAGTATACAGCAAGCTTAAATTGACTAAACATCTATGTTATTATGCTAGATATTTATGCAGAGCCTCTGCAAATATGTATTTCTTACAAACCCAATGGTCAAGTTGTAAAATTAGTAATCCATGAATTCATCATATGTAGGTCTATTTTATTATAATCATCACAAAAATAGTTGATCCTTGAACAACATGGGCTTGAACTGTGCAGGCCCACTCATACATGGATTTTCTGTCACCTTTGCCACCCCTGTGACAGTAAGACCAACTTTTTCTCTTGCCCCTCCTCCCCAGTCCACTCAACATTAAGGTGGTTAAGATGAATACCTTTATGATGATTCGCTTACACTTAATAAATGGTAAATATATTTTTTATTCCCTATGATTTTATTAATAACATTTTTTCTCTAACTTACTTTATTGCAAGAATATATAATGCAGATAACATTCAAAATATGTGTTAATTGACTGCCTTATTGGTAAGCCTTATGGTCAACAGTAGGCTAGTAAAGTTTTTAGAGAGTCAAAAGTTATGTATAGATTTTCCACCGTGTAGGGATCAGTGCCCCAATCTCTGTATTATTCAAGCATCTACTGTAATTAGTTTGGGTAAGAAAAGAGTGTATTGCGTAAATGCCGTGGTCTTAATATGTCCCCTCAAATGCGTGTGTTAGAAACTTGATCCCCAGTGTGGCCGTGTTGGGAGGTGAGACTTGGGATGTTCTTAGGTTATGAGTGCACCACCTTCATAAATGGAATAATGCTGTTATAAAAAATTTCAGGAGGAGGTTCTCTCTCTCTTCTGCAATGTGAAGACAAAGAATTTGTCCTTCTCTTGTCCTGCTGCCTTCCACCATCTGAGGATGCAATAAGAAGACCCGTACCAGGTGTTGGCACTTTGATCTTTGTCTTTCTAGCTTCCAGAGCTGTGAGGGAGTACATTTCTGTTTTTATAAATTACCCAGTCTTAATTATTTTGTTATAGTAGCACAAAATGGACTAAGACAATGTAGTAGCTCATTTAAAGATGGTTAGTACATAAATATATACACATTAATATATATACATAAATATATACTATATATTATAATATCTAATACTGTATATGTATATGTATATATATATTTGAGATGGAGTCTTGACCTGTCACCCAGGCTGGAGTGCAATGGCGTGATCTCGGCTCACTGCAACCTCCATCTCCCAGGTTAAAACGATTCTCCTGCCTCAGCCTCCCAAGTAACTGGGATTACAGGTGCCCGCCACCACGCCCAGCTATTTTTTGTATTTTTAGTAGAGACGGGGTTTCACCATGTTGGCCAGGATGGTCTCAGATTCCTGACCTCATGATCTGCCCACCTAGGCCTCCCAAAGTGCTAGGATTACAAGTGTGAGGCACCATGCCCAGCCCATATATTTTTAAGTAAAAATAATTTGAGAAGAATGGAGATTTATTACAAGGATTAAAACATTGCACTTTCACTACATTTATGAGGAATATTAAGTATTTGAGCTAGTTTTGACCTCTATGCAAGGCAATATGGTATGACAGAAGTTAGGATGGTTATCAGAGGATATGGAACATGGTCCTGTTTCTGCCAATTATTAACTACTTGAGTTGAGGCTGAGACTTTTTTCTCATTTGACAATAAAAACTACCAATTAGTAGATGCCTAAAATGTGTCAGAAATATTTCTAAGGCCTTACAGGCCTTTTGTCATTTAATACTCATAGCTAGTATAGTGTCATCAAAAACTAAGGCTGAAGGAGTTGTGCAGCTTTCTCCAGGTGAGACATCTAGTGAATGACACCCAGAAGATAAATTCTATTTTATTTGTCTCCAAGGCCTGTGTAATTAACCACTGTAAAGAATGCTTAGCAAGAACGTATGAAATTGAGAAAAATATATATCAGATACTGTTTTTCTTTTTGAATTCACAGTACATAATACAAATGTTAGTTATTGTAAAGAGGGCAGATATGTAGGTTCATATTATTACTTTTTGAGCAAAAGAAATTTAGAGTATTAATCAGTAATACCAAACCATTCCCAAATTTCATAGCTTAACTATAGTCTTTTATTTAGCTCGTGATTCTGTAGGGCAGTGCATTTGGGCTGGACAGCTCTAGACAGATGAATAAGAGGAAGGAAGACAGTTTTCTACTTTTGGAAACCAGCTGGCTATCATATGGGGGCAGAAATGAGAAGTTTAGCTGTTTTGAGATACAACTTATTAATTTTATGGATAATCCTCTATTATGTCCTCTGAGTTGGCTCCTAATACCATTTCTTATTGTACGGAAAGTGTGTGTGTGTGTGTGTGTGTGTGTGTGTGTGTGCATGACTGTCATATATGTCTTTCATCATGAGGTCAACTAGTTAAGACTTATTTTCATAGTATCAGGATACAGTTCCAAGAAAGAGAGAGGAAGGTAGAGAGAGAGAGAGAGCAAGAATGTAGAAGCATACTAGACCATTTGAAGCCTGGGTTTGGAACTGGTACATAATCACTTCCATTCCATTCTATTGGCCAAAGTAGGTTACAAAGTCAGCACAGATTCAAGAGCTGGAGAAACAGACTTGAAGGGAGAAGTTGCAAAGTCACATTATAAAGGGCCAAATCTGTAGGGAGCAATGAAAAATTGTGGCCATTCTTTAATCTACTGCAGAAAAATTTTGTTTGTGGATATATTACTTTTTGAGAGTGAACAATATATTTTTTTTAATTATACTTTAAGTTTTAGGGTACATGTGCACATTGTGCAGGTTAGTTACATATGTATACATGAGCCATGCTGGTGCGCTGCACCCACTAACTCGTCATCTAGCATTAGGTATATCTCCCGATGCTATCCCTCCCCCCTCCCCCCACCCCACAACAGTCCCCAGAGTGTGATATTCCCCTTCCTGTGTCCATGTGATCTCGTTCAATTCCCACCTATGGGTGAGAATATGCGGTGTTTGGTTTTTTGTTCTTGCGATAGTTTACTGAGAATGATGAGAGTGAACAATATTTTAAAAATCCTCACATTAGACTTTAGAAGAATTAAGTTGTTCAAATGCTAGACTTTTGCAAGTATGTCATTCTGACAGTCACAGTGTGGCTTCATGAGATCAATCCACGTTTCTGATGGTGACGTAGTGCTTAGTTTCTGTAGCCTTTCTGTGATGCTGACTCAAGAATTATAAAGCAAGCAGCATTTCAGTTGCTTCCCTGCAAGGGGTAATGTCCGTACAGTTTTCTAAATCCTTGCTCCACACAGACCACAAAGGAAACCACAAATGTTTTTCCCCCTCAGTTTTCCATTGCCATATTTCAAAGCTTTGCTTTCTTTTCACTTTTATCTGACTTTTACAGCAGGTTCAGTAAAGTTCATTGGCTGGAGGGGTTTTCTGTTCTCTCCTGTCTTATATAATGGAGCCTGGATATTTGTTTTAGGTTCTTCCCCTGTTCTATTGACCAGCAAAAAATAAAAGAGACTGTATTTTATTCCTTGCTTTGTGTATCAATTCTGCATTGACATGCACATCTCATCCTTTTATCTTTCCACATTCTTATTTTCAAACTTTTCTGACATGTTCTCTATATAATTCTTTTTGAATCACAAGAAAAGTCTGAGTTCTTCTGAACGATGATCCTCTTGTCAATGTGATTATTTCTAGATAGCTTATATAATATAACCTTACACCCAAACTGATTCATTAGATCTTTGTCTTTCCATTTTCCTCCCCATGAGTACTTTGCATTATCTTTTCCTTTCTTTTTGTTTTCTCTGTAGTTGTCTTATAATGCAACTAATATTATGAGACTAAAGGTTTTCATTACTGATTCCTATCATCTGTATGAGTTATCTTTTTACAGTCTTGCAATTTAATGTGAACATTCTCTCTATTTAAATTAAAAGGGGGTAATTTATGTGAAGCATTTTTAACATAGTAGGATCTCAGTAAATACCTATTATTATAAATGCTTCTGTTGCTATTACAGTTGTTAATTTATTCTAAAGCAAACCACATTCCCCCTTTTACCTACTGAATTTACATTAAGCAATATATGATACCATCTAGACAATGGAAGAATGACTGTTAGAAGGTGAATATACTTTTTCTTTGTAATTTTTCTGGCAATTGAAATTTATTATCATTATTATTTTTGGAAATACCTCAGTGATTGATAATTGTACAAAATTAAAATAATTTTCTTCACATTAAAGCCTTATACATTTTTGTGTGTGTTAGTAACTCACATGCTGGGTACACATTGTCTTTACACATTTACTGTAAAATTGTCAGTAATTTAAAAAATAAATGTATATATTACATCTTTTGCATTTATTTTCTAGACATCAATGACCTTCCAAAGACCTTTTGGTTCTCTACTTTGTTAACCTATTTAATGTGTCATAACAGATAGACGTTTATTTGGTGAATTCACATTTTACTACCTGTCTTATCACTCTCTATATTGCTAAAATTTTCTTATTAATAACTCACAAATCTTGCTTTTTCTAAGCCATAGTATCATATCAATACCTGTTTATCAAAGAAATCTTCTTCCACAGAGGACCTGGTGTTTTCCTTACTGGGTGGACTTCAATTCTAACAAACTATGCCTGTAGAATAGTGTCTGCCTTCCTTCTTTTTCTTTCTTTCTTTCTTTCTTTCTTTCTTTCTTTCTTTCTTTCTTTCTTTCTTCTTTCTTTCTTTCTTTCATGGAATATGCACACAGATACACACATGTGCACGCACACACACACACACACACACGATCTGTTTGGTGATGAGGCCTGTTATAGGTTGAATAGTGCCCCTTCCCCTCATAAAAATTGTATTGGAGTCCTAACTTTCAGTACTTCAGAATGTAACCTTGTATGGAGATAGAATCTTTATAGAGATAGTGAAGTTGAAATGGGGTCATTTATGGCGGGCCCCAATCTAATATAACTGATATCCTTATAAAAAGAGGATGTTTGGACACAGAGACAGATATGCATGGAGAGAAAATAGTCAGAAGAGGCACAGGGAGAAGATGCCCATCTACAAGCCAAGGAGAGAGGACTGGAACATATTCTTCCTCCACAACCCTCAGAAGAAGCCAACCCTAACAACACCTTAATTTTGTATTTGAAACTGGCAGAACCATGAGACAATACATTTCTGCTGTTAAGCCACCCAGTTTGTCATACTTTCTTATGGCAGCCCTAGCAAACTAATACAAGGGGCAATGAAAACTTGAGAAAGGGTGAAATTGGCTTATTAAAAAATTACTTGGATACTTGGGTATCTGTGGATTTTCTCTTCAGCTTCAGACAAAAAGAAACCCTGGAGCTTGTACTTTGTAAAGCACTATCTTCCTGGGATAAACTTCTAAAACTTGTTTTGCTTTAGATAACCGTGGTGTGGTGGCTGGAGACTGACATTTGATTTGAAAAAGCAAGCCAGAGCTATGCATAAGACATAAAAAACAATATTTACTGTCACCTGTTAGTAGACCTCTCTCTCCGGCCAACTGTCATTGAGAAAAAAAAAATGCAATTGGTTTTAGATTCTCTCACTTGTTGGGAGGGGTGGGGCATAGCGAGGGGTGGGGGGAGAGAGAGGGTGTGGAGAGTGGGGTGTAAATAAGGCAGGCAGAAGCTCCAGAGAGGGTGGAGACAGAGCTTCACGGAAGAAAAATATGTGAACCTGGTTGGTACACATAGCTTCTCCAGACCCACCCACCCACTCTTTCCTGAGCCCTGTGCTTCGGATGGCGGCGGGAGGTTGATGGCGAGTGGTGCTGAAGGGACAGCTCCAGCAGTGGCTGATTTGGGGGAGAAACAAAATCTGCAGATGGAATCCGAGCAGGGCGACTTCACCTTCAAGTGGTGAGCTCTCCTGACCTGCGGCCAGTCTCCACTCCATTCACGGCCAGCCGATCTGCCCGCTCCCGGAGGGGTCGGGCAGTGCCGGCTGGACCCGCCCCGAGCTCCATGGTTTGCCCAACCCTGCGCGATGGTGACTCTGGGCGCGGAGGTTGGCGACTGGCAAATCCGCAGATCACAGAATGAAGGCGGGGAGCGCGGCCGGCGGCCGGCGGGGGCTTTCTCCCCCACCCCAGCGCCCAGGGAAGCGGCTCAACCACCTGAATCCGGAAAACGCCAACAAGTAGTTTCTCGTCGGAGAAGGGCGGCTCACCTGGGCGCCAAGACTCAGTCCCGCTGCCCAGAGAACCTCGTCCACTCGGAAACCAAAGCAGAACCACTTTTCTCTCGGTCTCGTTAAGGTATCTGGAAATGGGGGCGGGGGTGGTGAAAGGGGCGATTTCCTGGAAAGGGCATGTTGACCCTGCAGGCCAGCATCCCCCCGCTCCGCCTTTCCGCAATAGGAATGTAGAGATGAAGCCCTGGGGAGAGGTGGCTGGGAGGCTGGAAACAGGGACACTGTCAGCGAGACTTTCAGCTCAGGGACCCAGGGGGTGTGCCTCCAAGCAGCTTTTCCCCGAGCCTCGCCCCTCCTAGAAAGCAAATCCCCCACCCTCCACCCACTAAGGGATTTGTTTTTCTTGGGAAGGGGGATGGGTGGGATGCATTGATCACTTCTATTCTTAAAGATGGATCTTAGTTAGTTGTTTCCTTTCCCAAGTAATAATAATATCAACAACAATAATAATAATAACGTGAAAAGGAAATCGAATGAGGAAATAAGTCAGAGGTCTCCTAGGTGAAAAGCAACAGCAGAGATTTTTTTTTTCTCTGACTTCTGTGTTGTCTTTTTGCTTGGTCTGTGAGCAGGTGTAGAGGTGATCCTAGAACAGGTTGCTCAGAAGGCACTCCCTGAGCGCTAGGGAGTAGAGAGGGGTCCGGGGTTGACCTAGGGTGGGTGTGGAATCCGGGCTCTTCACAGGGTGGGGGGAGGGTGTGCTCTCACCCAACACTGCCAAGTTGCCTGAGGAAAACTCCCTGCCTAAGAGAATTGCATCCAAGCTAGGGGAAGGGGAGAAAGAGGAGGGTCTTGGAGAGTGGGAATGAGAGGCCAACCAGGGGAGGAGGAGAGAATGGGGCAAAGGAGGGGGAGAAAGTAGGTTTAGAGGGAGAGAGAGTGTGTTTGGGGAGGCAGAGAGGGGGTTAGGGGCTGGGAGCAGGTTGGACTTGAGTGGGAACAGAAAAGAGGAAGAGTGGAAGGTGAAAAGATGAAGGTGAAGAGATCAGAGCCAAAAGAAAGGAAAGCGGGAGGCAGGGAAAACGGTGTCATGAAAGGTCAAGAAAGACTAGGACTGCTATCTCTGTAGTTCTCTGGAAACCTGGGAAAGGTTTGATGCAAGAGGCGGGGACAGCGCTGGACGCTGATCCCCTCCCGGGGAGGGTCTTTGCCCCGTGCCTGTCTGCCAACTCTGCATCCCTGGACTCGCTCTGGGTTGGTGGTGGGGGTCATGGTGTGTCTTTGACGGCTAAGATCTTTAACTCGGCGCTGTGTTTGCCTCCCCCTAGTCATGTCTGAGTCACAGAGATGGGCAAGATCGAGAACAACGAGAGGGTGATCCTCAATGTCGGGGGCACCCGGCACGAAACCTACCGCAGCACCCTCAAGACCCTGCCTGGAACACGCCTGGCCCTTCTTGCCTCCTCCGAGCCCCCAGGCGACTGCTTGACCACGGCGGGCGACAAGCTGCAGCCGTCGCCGCCTCCACTGTCGCCGCCGCCGAGAGCGCCCCCGCTGTCCCCCGGGCCAGGCGGCTGCTTCGAGGGCGGCGCGGGCAACTGCAGTTCCCGCGGCGGCAGGGCCAGCGACCATCCCGGTGGCGGCCGCGAGTTCTTCTTCGACCGGCACCCGGGCGTCTTCGCCTATGTGCTCAATTACTACCGCACCGGCAAGCTGCACTGCCCCGCAGACGTGTGCGGGCCGCTCTTCGAGGAGGAGCTGGCCTTCTGGGGCATCGACGAGACCGACGTGGAGCCCTGCTGCTGGATGACCTACCGGCAGCACCGCGACGCCGAGGAGGCGCTGGACATCTTCGAGACCCCCGACCTCATTGGCGGCGACCCCGGCGACGACGAGGACCTGGCGGCCAAGAGGCTGGGCATCGAGGACGCGGCGGGGCTCGGGGGCCCCGACGGCAAATCTGGCCGCTGGAGGAGGCTGCAGCCCCGCATGTGGGCCCTCTTCGAAGACCCCTACTCGTCCAGAGCCGCCAGGGTAAGGCCAGAATCGACCCCTTCCCTGCTGCTTCAACTTCTCCCAACTCCCTCCCCAACTTTCTGTTCTTTTCCACCCCAGGGCCTCAGGCATGGGGGGTAGAAGAGACCCGGGATTTCCTAGCGATACAGTTAGAGGCTCATCCTTTGCAGGGTAAACCCAGGGACCCCGGCCACCATCCCTACCCAGTCCCATCTTTCTCCTCCTCCTCTTCTCCCAACTCAAACAGATTTGCTTTAGCAGATGGGACCTAGAGGGCCAATGTCGACTTTTCTGTGCACGTCTTTGGACCCTGTCCTGAAACGGGTATGAGGATTCATCTCGAGTTTCTCCCTCACTCCTTTGTTCTAACTTTTCCTTTAGCTCAGATCTCTCTTCTGGCCTCCTGGTCATCCCTATTTGACATTTTCAGTGAGGCCCCCTTCACATCTGACTCACCCAGAGCCGTGGCTCCAATTGGGGGTTGAATCTGAGGACAGAGGAAGGGGAAATGGAATGTATCTATGTGTCTGGGGAGGTGGAGGGAGGAAAGGTTTGCCTGGAGGTTTATGTTGTGAAGAGAATCTCCAGAACGTTGTTTGGGCCTGTCACTTTCCAAGGGAGACGAATACTAGGATTGTTTCCGTGAGTTGACCAGAGAGCCCACTTACACACAGAATTTTGAGCCTCGTCCCTTTTGCTTAGGGCTGTATCTCTGATCCTTACAGGTTGAACATACATTAACCACTTTGGTGATCCTAGTTCTCTAAATCTGAGTAATTTAGATTGGAGCAAACTTTATTTTACTTTTAATATTGTGATTTCAGCCTCAGTGTTCTTTTTCGGGTTCTAGTTTAAATGACAGCTCAACTTTAATCCTTGACATTCCCAATTAATTCTTCAAAATCTCATGAAGAGATTATAAAAGTAACCAATAATGATTTCTCTGGTTGAAAGGAAATAAAGACATATAAATAACCAAAAATTATACAGTATGTGAATGGTTTTTAATTATATATGAGAACAAAGTACTGTATTCAGTTAAATCTTTGCAACTGCATGTGTCTGGTTTGCTTCCGACACCCAGAAAAGACACCCCATGGGCAGAATGGGAATTCTCCCAACTTTACTTTGGCTCTATCTTCATTATTTTCTTCCTCTGTATGTCAGAAGTGTCTGCATCTGAGACGTTATGCAGCTATCTACTAATTTGTCAGAAGATGTGCTACTGATAACACTTTGGAAGTCTGTGGACGTGTTTTGTTTTCAGTGTGAAATAGAATATGAAAGAGACAATTTAAAGCATTGCTACTCCTTTAGACTTGGTATTTAAATGCATACATAAATTCTAACATGCCTGCATACACATATTTGAACATAGAATTAGTAGCTTCAACTTGGAAATCTTTTTTTTTTTTTTTCAGGCCATGCCATAAATTCAACAACAGAGTTGGCATTCAGGAAAAAAAAAAAAAAAACCCAAACCAACCAAACAAAACCGCAAGTGCATATTCATTTAAATTAAACCACAGGCTCATGACCATTACATCTGTGCATCTGTGTTTTTTGGATTCCAGCTGAGTGTTATGGAGCTCTTTCCACTTGGTGGCTAAAAAGATAATCTGAATTTGTTTTCAGGCCCATCATGTGATTCTTTTTTTCCAGATCATGTGCTACAAAAGGACATAATGTTTTACTATTTTTCCTTATGATAACATAATACATCTTATTGTAGGCCAGATTGCATAGCAAAAACTTTAAGAAGGTGTTCAACTTTTATCATTGCCATGAAATTTGATTCTATAGTTTATTGATCAAAAGGATAAACCATTGACTTGAAAATTGTGTTTAAAAAGCATTTACTACGATATTTCTTTATAATACTCTTGAGACTTTGATCTGCATCTGTTTTGGTGAGAAAAGAATACACCAAAATTGAGATTAAAACAAGGTCAAAGAGCAAGTAGAAGCAGAATCAGCTAAGAATCATAGACCTGAAAAATTTATTTGAGGTCACGTTTAGTCAAGACCCTTTATACTGTAGATGAGGGAAATGAAGACTGCAGATGCTAAGTGATGGCCAAGGTTATACATCAAGTTAATAGCAAAGCCAAAGTTATCCCAGAGGTCTCATGACACTCTCCTCAGGCCCTTTCTAGCAAAACTACTGATTATAACTGGACTGGATTGTGAAATCTCTGCAGATCACATTGGTCTTGAGATTTAATGCGGCATAAGACATTCACTAGGGTCCTAACTGTGAAAGGTCATCTATGACTTTTAAAATATATGTATTCCAGGACTTTCGCTCCTGGAATTTTTACCCTTTACCACCCAACAGTAGAATAAAAATATGGGACTTGAATTAACTTCTTAAAAAGAATCCTGTTTGAACTTTCCATTTTTATTGACCAGTCAGGGTTTAATATTTGGCTTTCTTTTGTGGGTCTTGTCTTCAGGGAAATCCCTTTTCAAATTCCTAGGGGTTGGCTGAAAAAAAGTAATCATAAGTCACCATTCTATTTAAAAGTGACTTAATATTTTTACCTGAGCACTTTTAGTTAAGATGATAACCTGACAACGTTATCTGACTAGTTTGAAAAATAGAATCATATGTGGAGGCCACAAGTTGAAATTATATTTTGCATCGACACAATTCGAGGAAACATAAAACATTTATCAAGTGGTTTGCTTCAGTTCTTATTATCATGAGTCTCATTCTTAATAGAAGTATTTAAACTTTTATAAACACTCTTATTTTTTAACATTAGCTCATCTTTCATTGAAATATTTGACACAAAAAATTTTAACTCTCTAAATTTCCCTTTTCAACTCATTATACCTGTTTCACAATTTTCTTTTTTCTCCAATATTGAAAGGATTGGATCAGTTATATAATAGATGTGCTTTGTTTGTAATTTTTGTGATTTAAATGGCAGACAAAACAACGGTGATAGGAACTGAATAATTAATTGAATTTTGCAACCCTGCATTTTTGCCTTTTGTTTTGGTTGGCATGTCCCTCTCCTCTGTGATTTTTAATTTATGAAGTAAATACGTATATGAGGGGTCTATATTGTTGTATTTCAATTGGTAAATAAGTGTATATTTTATACATTTAAATTCTTATTCTTAAGAATAGTATTCAAAAATAGAAATTTATAAAAATTCAAATATAAGTTGTCATGGAAACCTGTTGTGGAGAAAACGAGATCAGGAAAAAAATGAGAGTTTATTTTGTTGATGCTAGTGAGTGATATTTACAAACAGTAAAAAACAAGGATGCATAAATATATTTGTAAAAATGTGATGCACTGTATATTTTCAATTTAATGTGTAAGTGTTAGAAAAACATGAAGCTTGTATGTGCTTTCCTTTGAAGAATGTATCATATATAAGAGGACAGGTACCAAGCAGAAATTCCTTGATAGAGTTTCTAGATTTTTAGAAGTTTTTAAAAATCACATAAGGACAAAATACTAAAATAAAAGACAATTTTGAAGAATCTGTTTGGAATATTAAACAGCTGAGAGCAGTTATAAGTTTCTCTTTCTCTTCTTTTCACTTATATTTTTTATAGGGTAGGGGAGATGATTGAATTCAGCTCTGTTTTAGAATGTTGGCTCTTCCTTGGTGATTTATGCATATCTTTGATTACTTGGCAGATCTTCTGTTTTTTACTTTTAAAGCACATTTTAGAAAAGAAAAAACAAAATAATAACTGCCATGGAACCCCACTTAAGATGTTGCCTTTTTGATGTGTTTCTAGCTCTTTCACATACATTCCCCTGACCTTTATCTCATTTACTGTTGTTGAAATACAATATGGGTTGTATCTCATATACGATCCTTCTGCATCATACAGGGATTGTGATAGCGAATCTATCATTTTTTAAATCTTGAAAATATTCATATTATTAGCATTATAGATTACTTCTACAGCATTACCAAAACGTACTCCGTAGAAGCCATTAAAATGGAAATTTTAATTTCTAGCATTAGACTCAAATTTGCAAATATTTAATTTACTTTGTATGGGCCACTTTTTCCTCTTCGCCAAGCCACAAAACAAAACAAGAAAGACATGATCTAAATAAACATTTGCTAGTATTAAATGTAGCACTTGATTTTTAAAAATTATAATAAGGTATAGGAACAATTTGAATCATATATTAAGATTAAAGGAAGAAAATGTATTAAGTCTTGTTTTGTAAGAGTGGTTCTAATTAAAAGAATTAATGGCTAAATATAGCTTATTCATAAAATATTGTTGTCAATTATTAAAATTTTAGAAAGCACATTTATTCAATGAATATTGATTACACAGTCACTGTAGACTGAAAACTATGAAAAGTACTGGGAATGCATGGAGAAGATATAATCCTTTGCCTTCAATGAGCTCACCTCTCTATTTGTAATAAAACGTTTCCTAAAGGCATTATCTATTAAATTAAAAAAAAACAAGATTATGGCAAATAAAATTCTAGAGGTGTTAAAAATACATTTTCCTAAAAAAAAAAAACTCACATAGGAATATTGCCTGACACATGCAGTAAAATATTCCTTTTAGAAATGATGATGTTAAGGTATTATTGGTCTTTATTTTATTACAAAATATTAGGCTCTTAAATTCTTTATTTTTCTGTTTTCACAATGACTTACAGGCTCTCTCCTTACAATATAATGAAGACTGTACTTATACCAAACAACAATTGAGCTATTTGGAGGTGTGGCCAAGTTTCTTTCATTATTTCTATTTAATTAAAAGTCATGGCCAACATCATGACAATGCATACCCAAACTTCATATTCCTCAAAAGAGTCTGCTATAATAGTCCAGTGTGTTTGCACTTTCCACCTAAGCATTGAAGTGTCTTTTGACCTTTTCAGGGTCAAAAGGCTTATAAATAAATTTAATTTTATGCTTATAGTCTAAGCATTGGATAGAATCAGAGAGTACCTGATTAATAGATCACTAAAATAATCAAGTAAATTTAATTGCCAACTAAATATACATACAAGTGATATACATATGAGGTGGCCTGATTTATGGTTGGACATTAGGTGTGCAAAAAGTGAATATAGTTGGATAGATTAGGTATGATCTCTTCTGTAATATTTTGCTAAGAGCTCACTTGTAGACCTGAGTTGACAAAATTAAATAAAAGACAAGGAAAGTTTTTTATCTTTGTCAGTAAACTCATTTTCAAAGCAACTGAAAAGGAAGGTATAGATCAACCTTTTTGTAGATTTTGCATTTGAAAATGTTTATCATTGCCATCAATTTTTACTATGACAAATAAAGTAAATGTCATTTTCAAGTATTGTATTCTTTGAACTTCTGAGCCATGTATTCTTTTTATTGTGGGAACCTTTAGAAATGTGTCTAAATAAAATAGTAAAGGGCATTAAAGATAAACACAGACCTGTAGAAGAAAATATATAGTGGAAAAATAGTCTAAAAAATAACCTTCAATATATTCCATAAACTTAATTCAATTCTGGTTGAAATATGAAGGGCTTTTCTTCGAGAAGAGCAGTCAAAATATTCTTTTAAGACAGAAAAGCACTGCTTTTTTGCCTTCCGTGCAGGTTGAGGGATGGTAATAATCCTAACACGGTGTAGTCAATATTTTCATAGAAAGTGAATAGAATGTGAGTGTTGGGAGGAGAACAGAGCAGGACTGGATATTATGTGGAAAAAGAATTGAAAAATGCCTGAATTGAGACCTAAGAGACCTACGCTCCAGTCTTGATTTCAACACTAGTTGTGTGAACTTGGAGAATTTACTTCATCTTCCTAAATCTTGATTTCCTTTGCTTTATTCTGAAAAATAAAACCCAAACATTGAGATGACACATTGGACTAGATAGTATCTAAACTTCAGCTCTAAAATTTTGAGATTTGTAGGATAATTATTGCTAAAGATTCTGGGGGAGAGAGGAAGGGACGACATGTTCATGCCCATTCAGATTGCACTCCAAGGACCATCACACTAATAAAGTAAACCAGAATCTGGTTTTTTTTTTTTTTTTTTTTTTTTTTTTTTTTTTTTCCAATTTCGTTTGTAACTTTCTGCCCTTTTTTTTCCCTACAGCTGTTGGGTAGCTACTGCTGTGGTTACCATAGAAACAGGTTAGCTCCCAGCTTCCTGTTTCCATTGAAAACAGCTTTCTCTCAACCACATATTGATCTCAGGAAATCATTTTGCTGTGGCTCTGTCATGAAACCCATGAAGATGTTCAGCTCTGTCATTTCTTAGGTCTAAGATTCAGTGCAGGTGTATATCCAACCACCTGCAAGGGTAACCGATTAGATAATCTCAGTCGCATTTTCACTTGAAAAGTATCTTATCAACAACACCATGTTTTTCCCCTTTTCATATTTTATATAAAAGGGACAGTCTTATTCTCTTGAGGACTTACACTATGCCTAACATATTTAAGTGTTTACAAAATAGTGTCAAATTATTCAATTCTAATCTCTTCCATAACCCATTCTATTAGAATAAACGTAGAAAATAGTGTGCTGTCTAGCACACTTCATAAGTTAAAATTATATTTTGTTCATAATGTTCATTAAGATATATTTTAATGTGCTCACTAGTGAAGATTATTTTAAAATGAATGTGTATGTATAGTGTATAGTGCTCCATATTTCTGTTTTTAGAAAATCATTTTTCTATTTTTAGGGTATATGTATATACATAAAAAGAATATATATTCAAATATATATTCACTGTTGTAATACAGACACATACTCAGGGAACATGTTTGTAAAATTTGTATGTGGGTAAGAGATAGAATAGATTTGTGGGAATATGGCTTTAAGTTTTGTTTGAGAAGTGCGTGTGTGCATGTTATTATATGTGTCCAAAATATATATTATATTAGTGAAATTGGTGAAGAAATATGTGATAGACTTCTGGTGTTTATGCTGATTAGAACTGGAAGAAAATTGGCAATCATCTGGCACAACTGCCTCAATTCACAGAGAAGACAACTGACATGTTTCAGCCATGATAAGTTAACGACAATGGCAGGGCTAGTATTTAGATCTTGTGACTTCTGATTAAGTGTTCATTCTGTTCAATTTTGATTGCTTAGTTTATACTGTGTTTAACACTAAATGCACAAATTTTAGCTGTCGGGAAGCAGCAAGACTGTTAGGAAGGATAGGCTCTGATCCCTTCCATGTCTTATTGTTCAACAATATCAGAAATATGTCATTATTTTAGGGATTTGCCTTATTTTCAAGATTCCCTTCCAGTTGCAGTCTTCCATTGCTACCTTCCCCACTAGTTTTACATGTTATTGTCTTCCTAAAAAGCCTTAAAAATAGCCTGCTTATGCACTTAACCACTTTTTTTCCCTTCAGCTTGTAACACCTATGAGAAGACCTGCAGGAGCTTACCTCCCAAGCTGAGCCAGAAGATATTTAGATAATTAAGAAATGATACCTATTTTTCCTTTGGCCCTTTTGTGTATAAGTCTTTTATAATACGTTTTTCTACTTTTGTTTGATTTATTTATTTTTAATGCAACACTGGTTCAACCTATTGGCAATAGAACATCATCTTCTCAAATGTAAATAACCAGGTCATGGTGGGTTTTCCCAGGGATGACTGGTGAATTGAAGAGAAAAGCATTTAGAGCTATTGGAGATCTGCAAACAAAGTTAAATGTTGTTGTAAGGTCAGTAAATACAATACAGAAAAAACAATTTCCCTGAATATTCTTTAATGAACAGTAAGCCAAAGATGATGTGATGGGAATGTAAAGCAGTGTTGTAATTTGGGAGTGTCCTAGAAAATACATTTTATAGAAATCAAAGCAGAAGAACTTGGGGCAAAATGTTATGGGTAATGTTGGGCAAAAATACTCCATGATTACTGCAATTACTTGACTGGTCTTCTTTCCTGAAAGTTGATCATGATACCAACATCTTGCTAAACTGACATTTCCTCATTGTTTTATGTGTCCAGAAAATCTCATGCAGACACTTCAGTAGTGTCTCCTTCATTCTTTGTTTGAAGCCCCTGGTTGGTGTGCTATCAAATCTTAGAGGTTTGCCATTCTTCAACAATATCTGACTGTGCTGTAGACATCTTTAAAAATTGGAGCAAAGGCCAAGATAGTCTTTCTTGACAGTTTTTTCTGTAATTTAGTCTTAGCAGTAAAAGGTGTTTTCCTTTGAGTTGTCTCTATGATGAGAGACCTAGAAAGAAAAAGTAATCAACTTTTGGTTGCATAAATTCTCTTATTTTACACCAATATTTTATCCAGGATTTTAAAATTGTTTAGTAAATAATAAAATGCAAAGACATCTTTTATAAAATGTCGTGATTTAAATAATATTGCCCATATATTCAAATAATATTAATTGACTCTAAATATATATTACATGTTTATAAATTATGTTTAAGCAAAAACTATTTGGACCAATATAAATTTTTTTGAGTTTTTTGTCATTTTGTGCTCCATGAGAAGGCCAGACATTATTCAGAATTTATGTAAAATTTGTGTCTATGCTTGCAAATTATAGAATAGAAATTCAGATATGGGGTTCTTGATTTTGGTACTTTTAAGTTTATTGACTTAGGATTAAATGCTATTTGCTAAAAGTGAATATTGTATAATAATTGTACCGGAAATGATGGCATAATAATCATTGCAGTAACAAACTTCCTTACCGATGTTGATGTATTAATTTTTAGATAAAAGTAGTAAAATTGGTATTTAGGAAAATATAACAATAGTTATTACAGTTTGACTTATCATTTAAGTTGTTCTGCTTCTCTCTTTTAGGCTTCTTGTAGGAGCAATGAGAGGAATATTATGAAAGTTACTAGAATTCTCTTAATGCAACCAAGTAGACTGAGTAGGAAATGGGCAGAATAGAACCTTAACTGACTTTTCTCTGTACAAACAGAATCGAAAATAGCAGTTATCTTTAATTTTTTAAATATATTATAACTTTATAATTAGGCCTGAGTGAACCTATCACCATCATCTAAAATAATTAGTGGATGCGTCAAAGTTGAGCAACTTTCATATTTGTATCATTTGTGTATGCTGTATGCTTATGCTTAATTCCCAGGCACATAATGTTGACTGTAATTTGATACTTAGAATGCAATGCTAGAAATATAGAATTTAAGCAAACTAATAAGATCAAACATATTTTAATGTATTATTAGGCTTTAGTGACATTAAAAAATGATTAGACTTGATGCAAAAGCAGGATTGTCTTTAATTAATTGCCTCATGTTTTCTATAAATTTACTGTTTAATTCTTAATTGTAGTATGTACTTGCTATCAGTTGCAAGATTTTTTTAATTTAGTGAGTGTTTTAAAAAATCTGATTCTTTTTCAATTTTTTTCATCATTGATTCAATTCATCGCTGATTTATCTATCTTAGGTGATTTCTTAGTAATGTTTGTTTTTTAGATGTAAGTGCAGTTGTCAGAGTACTTGACTTTGTACTTCAACGCTGGGTTTCTTTATCACTATAGTCTTTTGTGTTTCCTCTACTTTGTCCACACTGATTGGATGATAAAGTAGCATGTTGTTGTCAGGATTTGTACATTCTCCTTTAACTAAACAAACTGGGAAAGAAAAAAAGCATCAGAGTTTCTAATGCTTTTGAATCTGTTAGTTGACAACTATTGAATTTCAACTGTTGGCCAGAACTAGGTTATGTTCTAAGAATGCAAAATGGATTAAAATTTAGCACTTGCCTTCGCAACACTTGTATTCAGTAGGAAAAGAAGAACTATAAATTCACAGTTATAGTGCACTAAGTGATATAGTAGAGACATTGATATAGTGTAGACCCACAGGTTAAGGAGGAAACAAAGATGACATTTTGGTTAACTCCCAGAAGATAAGTAGGCATTTTCCAAAAATCAAGGGGAAGGTCAGTGGAGTAGTGAGCAAACATGAAGGCTTAACGGGGAATATCATGTCATGTAACATTGAATAATAAAAAGATCTGAAGGCATGAAACATGGCAAAGACAGAATAACAGGCTTGAGAGAACAGGGAGGGTGGAAATTGGGAAGGAGGGGACCACTGGGCTTATATGTAAGATATCCTGCTTAGATGTAAGACTCTCAGTCCAGGACAGCAATGGACACTGTTTTATCAGTTTACTTAAAATTTGCAGTTCACAAATTTGAATGTGCCTATGAATCACCTAAGATGTTGACTAAAATTGTGCAACTCAGGTCTCACCCCAGAGATCCTCATTCAGTGGGATTTGGGTATGATTCATATCAGGTGAATGCACTTTGAGCACAGTTGGCTACTTGCTCACTATGTGCCAGTATTGTGCTACAACTGCAGAAAAAACAAATACAATTCAACAATGAATTAAGAGACAAATCAAGCTTAGACCAGTATTAGAACTGGTTACCTGTAGTTCAGCAGGATGTTAACAGGTGTTTTCTCTCAAAATACTTTCATGGATGGAAGAATTTGGAAAAAAGTTAAAAATAAAGTTATATAGTTGTTTTTTAATTGCATGTCTTCTTAGTCAAGGAGTTAAGTAACTAACTGGCTGACTTCTGATAGTTGATTTTGAGATGGAAGCTAATTAGTGTATTAGTGTTAAGGACTTGACTGAATACGCTAAATATGAATTCTGACTCAACAACTTGCTTGCTGTCTTTTCTTCAGGGAATTCTCTAAGCCTCCTTTTTTCTCATCTGGACCAGGGAGAAAATAATAGTGTCTGACTCAGTAGAGTGCTACGAGGAAAGACTGAGCACATTTATGTTAAGAATCCAGACCTGGTTCTAGAAATGTCATTTGTATTATTATTACTCTTAACATTATCATTGCTATTATTCCTTGAGGCAAGCATTGCTCATTTCTGGAGGTGAGGCGTTTATAGTAGCCTACTTTAAGAAGCCTTTCTGGTGTTTAGAATGTTCATGAAGAAATAAGTTGTCTCTCCCTGAGATTTTCTGTGTGGATTCTAAATGACTGTCTGGGCAGTTGTAGAAGTAATTATTTCATTTATGATTAAATGGTAATTAATTAAAATAATATCCAATATACATACTATAAATCAGGCATATTGCAAGCGGCAAGGTGAAGGCATATTCCCAGCCTTTAACACACTTGTAGTCTATTGTAAGAAAACAACCAAAGGATGATGATAGTGCAATGTCATAATATCTGCAGTAGAAGTGAGCACAGGGTGATTTGGAGGTTAACACAGCTTTGCTAGCATTGGAAAAATGTTCCAGTCTTTGTTGGTACCACAGGATGAAGAGGAGATAGATTTTTCAGACAGTGGGAAGAGCCTAAATAGTTTCAACAGGAAAGGAAGGCATGGACTGTTTGTCCTGTTTGAGGTACTGTGAATAATTAAATACCACTGGAGCATTGAGCAAAGGGTGGGGAGGTACACCAGGAGACAGTCCCTGAGGTTGGCTGGGAATGCTTGACAAGTTCTCTTGAGAAGTTCTGGTCTTTCTCTGCTGGTAATGGAGAGATTTTGAAGGATTTTAAGAGCAGCGGCAAACAAATTTGTAATCGGCAATATCATTCTGAAACCTTTGTAGCTGAAGAGGGGATTGGGTTGGAGAGGGTGAGTGTAAGTTTTTCAAGAGGGCCACAGTTTAGTGTGTTATTGAAGTAACACAGGTGGTAGGAGACAACATTGAACCTTGAAATAAGACAGCAGCAAGAGGAATGAAGTAAAATGGTAAAGTGGACACAGTTGAAGAGGAGTTTTGACTAATTAGGTAGGAGTGAATGAGGCAACAAGAAAAGTCAAGAATGTTCCCTTAGTTTCTCTTTGTGTTATGGGACAAGAGAAACTTTATGACTTCTTTCTCATTCAAGATTCAATGGTTACTATTTGGGTATCTGGCTCATGAGTAGTTAGTTATTCTTTTACAAGATTTAACACTATAATATTTGGTATTATATTTTGTGATTTTTTTCTTTTATATTTCTGTATAAACTACCTAATTATAGAAGGCTACTTCATAGGTTTTATGGTTATGAAATTAGATGCTGAGTATGCCAGTTAAGATTTTTGGTTAATGTAATTCACCCACCACCATAACAAGTTAGTGAGATAAGCAATCCTCTGTACAAGAAATACAGGCTTTATATTGCTACTACTTTATTTAAAGCCCAAGAAAATAATATTAGTTTTTGCACAGTTTCTATGAAACAGAACTGCCTGTCCCATGTAGAAATCCATGTGGATTCCAAAGCTAGAAATTTGAATTGAACTAGGATTAAATGAAAATGATAATGTGATTCTGAAGTTCAAAATACTCTTTGGAAAATTGCTTTACATAAAACTCACTGTAGAAAAGTAGAAGAAAGAGCAAAGGTAGTGAGGAAGAAAAATAAAAATGAAAGCAGGTATTAAACTGGGAAGATGGTGACTTCAGAAACAAGGCAGTCATTCCTTCCAAGACACATATATACCACACCATTTTCTTGTTTTAAAAGAACTTTATCTGTTTTCCTTGACTACATACTAAGATTCCATAGAATGGTTCTTCAGAATCTTGTTACTACCTATGCTCCTAGTCATTTTCCTTACAACTCCACTGCCAAAAGCATAGTCATGTTCAAACCACAGTTTTTGCCCTTCCTGGATATAAGACATGTATTCTCTAGTTATCAAATATTTTTAAACACCTCTTCCAAAGCAGTTAATTTCTCTCTCTGAGTTTCCACGTCACTTTATAGACATTGTATTATAGCACTTAACTAAACTGTATTAATTTCCTAAGGCTTCCATAACAAATCACCACAACCAAATGACTTCAAAGGGGTGACTTAAGACAACAGACACCTATCGTCTTACAGTTTTGGAGGCTAGAAGCTAGTTTGGCAGGCTTGGTTTCTTCTACTGGTTCTAAAAGATAATCTGTTTCATGACTCAGTGCTAGCTTCTGGTGGTTGCAATTCTTGGAGTTTCTTTGTGTTTCTTGGCTGTAGATGCATCTCCATCTTCACATGATGATCCCCTTCCCCTGGCCTCGCCTTGCCCTCAGTGTATGGGTCTCTGTTTTCTCTTCTTATCAGGACAATAGTCAATTGGATTATGGCCCACTCTAGCCCAGCATGGCTCCATTTTGATTTAACTAATTGTTAAATTAGCTAAAATTTAATTCTGAGGTTTGGGGTAGACATGAATTTTGAGGGACACTATTGAACCCAGTACCCTAATTTTTCCATTTTGACAACACATTTGCAATATTCAGGGAATCTTTCTTATTTTCTGGTTACTCTTTTTTTTCATATCTGCGTGTTGTATCTTAATGACTATAATGTCTTTGTGAATCTTTCTGAAGATACTAATTGGAAAATTCTTTAAATTCTATTTTATTTCTGGCATTAACTCTAGTCCCTCTATGGAATTTCTTTTTCATTTGCTCGTCTTGGTTGTTGCATTTTATACTATTGAATCTCTTCAGATATCTTTTACTCTGAAAGAGAGTTGGGTGAATATAGTGTGTTGTGGGTAGGTTGGCAGGATTGTGCAGAACACAGGATTCCCTTCAGGGTGGGTGGATAGGAGCAGGCCGGCAAATTGGGGTATTGTGGAGGTCTAAAAAAGTAAGTTTTATTTGGAGATAGAACTTTAGAGCATTTCAATCAATATGGGGTTACCTTTCCTTTTTCTTTTTCTCCATGCACTTTGAGGAAATATGAAGGTACCTTAGATTTTGCTCCACTTTTCTTTATCACACCAACATACCTAATTTAGAACTGTCTTCTCTTCTGTTGATTCCCTACTCTATTTATAGAGCTGTTCTTGCTAGCTATATTCTAAGGGCAAATTCTATAGCCAGACACTGAAAGAAATTCCAGACCTTCTGAGCAGTTGTCCCATAGCCAGCTCCCTCTCCTAGTACATGTTGCCTCTGAATTTGAGGCTCCTCCGGATTTCCTTGGGAAGAAAAGGACCAACCCCTTTTCTTTACCTATATTGAATTACATTACTCCACTTCCAACCTATGTATTCATTATTTTCATCCTATTTGCTTTATATCTCAGTATTCTAGTCCAATAATAATAACTTTTCCTGTTTTTCATCCCTGTGATTATTTTTCACCATTTTAAATAAAATTTGGATAAGAAGATAAGTTTACTATCTTCAACTACAGTTGGACTATATGTGTATAGGCTTCTTGTTCATACTAGTTATAAACTTGTGTATAGGAACACTATTTTGTTGTCGTTGTTGTTGTTTTTACCCAGAGTTATGAACAGTGTCTGGTTATTTTCTCACTAGGTTTTAAAAAAATTGTAGATATTTATAGGGTACAATGTGATATTTTGATATATATTTACAATGTAAAATAACTAAATCTGGCTAATGAATAAATTTCTCACCTCACATACTTTTTTTGTGGTGAAAATGCTTAAAATATACTCTTTTAGCAATTTCAAAATATATAATGCATTATTATTTATTATGGTCACCATTTTGTGCGATAGATTACTAAAGCTTAGGTTTTTATCACCATCTGAATAATTCTGTGATTTTCCTTGCCTACAATGATGTATTTCTCTATGATTCTTCCCCACAAAGGCAATGTTTCTTCTTCTTTTCTTTGAGCTCACCTTCTTTTCCCACTTTTTAATTTATTCTGATCCCCAAATACATACACAATCCTACTGAGAAAATTAGAAGCCTAGCCATAATGTGTGATTTTCTCATTGCCATAAGAAGCTTTTTAGACTAACAGTAAATGAAAAATTCTTGAAAAGGATCACTCGGACGACGGTGACACTTAATTTATTATCTACCCACTGAGAATACATTTGTAAGAACCATGCACTTTGATGGCTTAACAAATGTCTCTGAGTCTCCATAGAAAGTACACCATTAAGTTGGAACAATATTTACATATTAGTGTACTTTAAGTTTTTACACAGAAACATCGCCGGTGGGACCAAATGCTAAGTCCCCATTATGTAGAGAAGCTTCTAACTAACAATAATAGATGGCACTGATTGTCCTGCTAATTACAGGGAAACGAGGCCTTCATGGAAGGATGCCGTGTCCTAGGAAAAGATGCTGAAGAATGGATGTTGCGGCAGCAAGGAAATTAGACAAGGAGCGCAGGAAAAAGAAAGAATCCCTATTTATCGCACTGTTGTTACTTTGTTTCATTTAATAAATTAGAAATATCCAAAGGTGAATTTTTCCACATTCTATCTAGAATATGCTTCATCAAACAAATGCTGTAAAGACTATTACATGTAAAACTGAATTATGCCCAGATAGTCCATCTGAGCTGTGGCAAATAGCAGGACTGAGAAAGGTGTTTAAAGAAGCATAGGTACATTATAGCGGTCATGTAAATAGAATGAAAAAAGTCTTCATTTATAATATTATAGAGATTAGGTAAAACTGTATTGTTTTAGGAAAAACCATTGTAAGATAGTAGATGAAATAAATTTATAAAATAGATTATAATAGGCCGGGCGCGGTGGCTCACGCCTGTAATCCCAGCACTTTGGGAGGCCGAGGCGGGTGGATCATGAGGTCAGGAGATCGAGACCATCCTGGCTAACAAGGTGAAACCCGTCTCTACTAAAAATACAAAAAATTAGCCGGGCGCGGTGCCGGGCGCCTGTAGTCCCAGCTACTCGGGAGGCTGAGGCAGGAGAATGGCGTGAACCCGGGAAGCGGAGCTTGCAGTGAGCCGAGATTGCGCCACTGCAGTCCGCAGTCCAGCCTGGGCGACAGAGCGAGACTCCGTCTCCAAAAAAAAAAAAAAAAAAAAAAAAAAAAAAAAATAATAATAATAATAATAATAATAATATTCAGAACAAAGTATTAGAATGAATTTGTGGTTTTAAGATGAGGTGTCTTTATAGTTAAATTATTTATTTTTAAAACAAAAAGTTTTCTTAAATCATAAATTTAAATATTTTTACAATGGAAAATTCAGAAAATATTGAATAGCCTGAGGAAGAAAATGGTCTTTTTTTCCCCAAAGACTATTAAAAATTTAGTTTAGTTAATTCATTTTCTCTAAGATAATTATATCCATGAGGGCATACGTAGGATTTTTTTTAAATTTAACCTTCACAGGCAAGAACATAGTACCTTTTCATTTGTTTAAATCTGGTTTTAGATCTCAAAAAGTAATTTTATAGCTTACTTTATATAGGTCCTACATGTTCATTTTAAATGTTATTCCTAAATATTCTATGCCTGGTTGTTATTGTGAATGGTGTCTTGCAGTCCATTACACTTTAATTAGTCATTGATGGCATATGAGTAAGCTACTACTTTTAGTACATTAATCATAGGTATAGTTATCTTACTGAATTCTTATTGATTGAAATATTATTTAAACTTATTGTCTTAGTTTATTTGTGGATATGCCATATATAAATGATAATTCAGTTTATAATTTATAATAGTTATTAATAGTCTATATCTTGTATCTTTTAATTTATACTATATACATATAATTTGTAATTACTTTTGTGGTCATAATTTTCAGTCATATTTATACCTGTTTAATTGCTACTACTGCTTTTCTGAAATTATTTTCTCTGGAGTCAATTTGGAAACATCTCTTTGTAATATGCTATATATTTTCCAATTTCTTTATGGAACTAAGAAATAGCTTGAATATAATATATTTTTGTGTGTCTTCATATATCCGAGGATATCTTTCTGTTGTATTCACATAAGAAAGTTATCTTAGCTTAGTACACAAGTTTTTGATGTGCAATTTTGTTTATTAAAACCTGCTATCTAACATTTAGAAATAATAAAGTGTAGGCAAACAAAGAGGATAGAAACATTTCTATGCTGTGAGCACAGACAAGACCCCAAAACAAAATCTTGGATCTGGAAAGGCCCCAAGGAAAGCATAACCTTTGATTGTTAGCATCACCTCCTGAACTATCACAACACTGAAATATAAAGGAACAGAACTTAGCCAAAGGAGATAAGGGGTGTTTAAGAAATAGAAATTAGTGGGATAGAGGTCTTAGAGATGAGAGCAAAGAAAATTAAAGGAACTGAAAGAAGATAGGCATGACCAGAGGTAGAGGGCTACTGGGAGCTATTGAAAGAGGGCCTAGAGAGGTAGTTATGGGACAATCAAAGGATATGACCCTACAACATAGTAGTTGTATAACCATGGATAATTTAAGTTTCTTTTTCAATTTCATAATAAAACCTCCTCATAAATGGGTATTATGAGGATTAGATGAGATAACATATTTAATGTGCATAGCAGACTGCCTGACATAAAGTGAACATTCTATAAATCATAGCTATTACTATATCAAGCTTAATGGTAGGCTAATGTTCAAAATCTTTAGTCTAATAACCGGTGGTATTTATCAAGTGATTTTTGTATTGGCGAGAGGTGGGGACAGAAGAGTCTCTTTTTCATCGACTCATAGGTAGAAAATCCACGAGGTTACAGAAGACAGTTTTGAAGATAATTGTCTTTTTTGCCAATAAGTTGCAGAGCGCAGCTGACAACCCTCTATTGCTGCTTTGACTGTAATTGCATTAGATATGAACCCTGTGTAGAATGAAGATAGACAACATTCCTGATACCATTGCCTAACTTCACTCTGAATGCGGTGTAGGGAATGAAAGATCAAGTGGTACAGAGGAGACAAATAATGAATTACTGAAGCCTGGCACAGGTTTAATGAATTCTGGTGCCTAGCACAGGTTTAATTACTGATGCCTAGCACAAGTTTAATTAATTACTGATGCCTAGCACAGGTTGGTACACAGTAGGTACTTACAGAAGTGTTTTCCTAACAGACTGGTGGATTGACTGCTTTTTAGGTGGAAAAGTACACTTTTCAGTAAGCTAGACCCCAAAGGCTTCTACTGCTTCAACTTACAAATGCATCTCCAAGGGAAGCAACTGTAATCCCCTTTCTTCCCTCAGTTCTGTGACTCCTTGAAATGGTTGTCAGATGATAAGGAACAATGCACAGGAGTACCCCTTGTCCTCTGTTACACCGCTGGTTGTAGAGAACGTGACCATGGTGGTAACTTTCTTCACCTCCTGAACTATCAAAACACTAATGACTGAAAAACAATATTGTTGGAGAAGTAGGGTTCATCCCTCTTACAAAGTAGCTCCCAGTCTTCAAAACATTATGGGTGGACTGATTCTTGGCTAATGTTATTTCCCTAGTCAGAGACAATGCCTGCACCAACTAACTTTCAAGCTGAAGGGAGTTTTAAAATTTCACTAGTCCTGTCAATATTCACTATTTTCATTTCAAGAGCTTGAGCACAATTTACTATGATCATCAACTCTTAACTATTCTCAACAGTTATTTTGACTAATACAAACCCTTCTGGATTTTGCCATGTAGTTTATTGTTGTACTGAGTTTCCTGGGCTATTATAGTGTGTCACCTTGTTATTTATTTATTTATTTATTTATTTATTTATTTATTTATTTATTGAGATGGAGTCTCACTCTGTCACCAGGCTGCAGTGAGTGCAGTGGCATGATCTCGGTTCACTGCATCCTCCAACTCCGGGTTCAAGTGATTCTCCTGCCTCAGCCTCCCGAGTAGCTGGGATTACAGGCACGCACCACCATGCCCAGCTAATTTTTTGTATTTTTAGTAGAGACAGGATTTCACATGTTGACCAGGCTGGTCTTGATCTCCTGACCTCGTGATCCACCCGCCTCAGCCTCCCGAAGTGCTGGGATTACAGGTGTAAGCCACCGCGCCCGGCCACCTTGTTATTTTTTTATGGATGTACTGCCAGATAAAGTATGATACCAGATTAACTTTCAATTTCAGATATATAGTAAATAAATATTTTTAATCTAAGAATCTATACTAAATTGTGGTTCACATTTATGCTAAAAATTGTTCCTTATCTGAAATTCCCAATGTTAAATAAGGATCTTATATTTTTATTTGCTAAATCCAACAACACTACATTGTGTTTTAAAGTGAATTCGGAAAGAAGCTTTGGTGGTTTTACATTGCAGTCTTTCTCACTGTTTTAGCATTAGTCCTATACACAAAATTTTCCAACTATATGTATTTATGGTGCTGTAGAGAGTCTACTGTAACTCTAATTCTAATTTTTGAAACAGTTAGTGCTCAAATAAAGATCGATAACTCCTCTGGCCATCCAGTAGCACACTGACAGAACAAAACAGACATGGCTGGGTCCTTGCCAGAGGTGATTTCTGTGGTCCTAGGGCTAAGAAAGGGTGAAATTTCATGGCATTTTCATCAAAACGTTATTGGACCAACATACTTCAAATTACCTTCTATTTCTATTTTTACTGTTGCTTATACAACTTCTATTGTTTGCATGTTGATAGTCTGTTCCTAGTATATTTTAATGAAACAAGGTATGACTATGACAAAAAGAGGGCTTTTAATTATTACTAAATAATTATACACAAAGGCAATACTCTGAGGAAAACTCAGTAACTACTTATGTGCTGTATAGAAATCCATCTTTTTGTTACAGGTGTATTTTTAAATACATGTGTATATGCATTCTTCTGGCAATTTGGGTTCTCATAATTTTCATTTATAGTCGTCGGGTTATTATATTTATGGTGTGACTTGTGATATTTTCAGACAGGCAATAGTAAATGGGCAATTAAACTTAAATAACAGTCTGCTCCATAATGTATTCCAAGTAAGGTTGCTTCTGGCCACCACATTTAACTGGGTCCTACAATCACTCTCTTTGGCCTTCGCTATATCTCTTCTGCAAATAATTCTCCTCCCTAGCAGTGCCAGCCTGCGCTACTGTAAGCTCCGCATAATTCAGTAAGTGAGGAACAAGCAGTCGAAGGAAGATATGTGAGAATATTGGGACAAAGAAAAAGGTTGGAACAAAAGAGCATATCCTATAACTGTAATTCAATGAGACTGATTTTCCAGTG